>NC_000010.11:52567337-52718852 GCF_000001405.40 Homo sapiens | reverse complement strand
TTTGTCAATTTTTGCTTTTTTTGCAGTTTCTTTTGATGTTTTTGTCATAAAATCTTTGCCCATGCCTATGTCCTGAATGGTTTTGCTTCAGTTATCTTCCAGGGCTTTTACGGTTTGGGGTTTTACATTTCAGTCTTTAATCCAGGTTGAGTTAAATTTTGTATAAGGTATAAGGAAGGGGTCAAGTTTCAATTTTCTGCATATGGCTAGCCAGCTTTCCCAGCACCATTTATGAAATAGGGAATCTTTTTCCCATTGCTTGTTTTTGTCAGGTTCGTTGACTATCATATGGTTGTAGATGTGCAGTCTTATTTCTGACGTCTTTATTCTGTTCCATTGGTCTATGTGTCTGTTTTTGTACCAATGCCATGCTGTTTTGGTTACTATAGCCTTGTAGTATAGTTTGAAGTCAGGTAGCATGATGCCTCCAGCTTTGTTCTTTTTGCTTCTGCTTGAACAGACTCCTCACACAGGTCTGAAGTGCAGGGACTATAGTTTTGCATGCTTTATAAACCAGATATGTAGATAATAAGTTGCTTATATTTGGAAAAAAAATTGATGAGTCTGATTAGGTTCCAAAAAAGACCATCCTATCTCTGCCTGTACTAAGATATAAGAGAAAACTCTAACCATTTTCGTTTTCTTTTATTTTAGCTTATCAGTATATAATGAACATTAAATTCTGTTATGTAACATGATTTATATTGGCTAAATATTATCCCATACCTGTGCCTTTATCATATTTGACCATTCTTCCATAGATGTACATTTAAGTTATTAATTTTTCTTTCTTTTAAATAATTTTTGGTGACCATCCTTATAGTAAATTTGTTGTTCATATTCAAGACTTTTTTGCTCAAGAAATGAATAAGTAATCTTTATTGTACTTTTGAATCCTGAGTATGATAAGAAATAGAAGAAATACAATGATGAAATTGGCCATAGCTGAGGATAGACAATTTAAGACATGTAACACCCTGATTTTCCCCTAATTATTATTTCTCTTCAACCTGGCTTCCAGTACAAGTACTGCAAATCTTAGGATAAGGAACAACTTTCAAAGAGCTAAATGTAAAAATTTCTGGATTAGAGATGTCTATAATCTGGATTCAAATATAATAGTGACCCTGGGTTACTTTTACATAGCTTAGGCAAGTTATTCTAAAACTTTATTTTAGAAAACCATCTACTGGATGCTTGTTTAAAGCCCAGATTCTTGAATTCAGATGTGCTAGTCAGCACATCCTTTGAGAACTACTGACATAGGAGCTAACTGTAATGGAGACCTCTTATATGTCAGTATGAACTAAAATGTTTAAGTAAACTGTCTTCAATTATTATAGGCCATACACGCTTCTTGGTATCCTCAAAATTGATGCTGATGATTATAGATTTACCAACTTGTGTTTTATCTCCAGCTCCCTAACACAGATTTCTTATACGTTTTCTTCTTCTCTTTTTATTTCTTTTATGTAGTAATTTGTTAAGAGAAATTTGCATTATCTCTATCATTCATCACCATGTGCAATATATTCAAGCTTCATTATAGTACTAAATGTATTTTACGTAGGTTTCTTTAAACTTTTATTTTAGGTTCAGGGGTACAATTGCAGGTTTGCTATACAGGAAATTACATGTCATGGGAGTTTGGTGTGCAAATTATTTCATCACCCAGGTAATAAGCATAGTACCCGAAAGGTATCTTTTTGATCCTCACATTCCTCCTAGCCTCCACCCTCAAGTAGGGCCAGATGTCTGTTGTTCCTTCTTTATGTCTGTATGTACTTAATGTTTACTTCCCATTATAAGTGAGAACATAAGTATTTGGTTTTCTGTTCCTGTGTTAGTTCGCTTAGGATAATAACCTCTAGCTCCATCCATGTTGCTGCAGAGAACATGACCTTGTTCGTTGTTAGGTTTTTGTTTTAAAATAAAGCTACTTATTAAGACATTTTTCAGACATTAAGTTAAAGGTACATCCAATGACTTTATGCTCTAGACAGGCTAGTTGGAACAGACGATTTGAAGCAATTTGGTATTCAGATCACATCATGAAGGAAGGGCAGGTTTTATAGAAGCAAAAATACTAGAAGTCCATAGGGCTAGAAAGAAAAAAAATCATACTTAGGAGTTATTTTGATAAAATATGTATGAAAAACCTTATGGTCAGAAGCAGCTAGAAAACTGTTAGAGCTTTTAAAATTCTGATTTATTGCCAGGAAATCTTATTGAGGTACTACCCAATTCAAGTAAAAGAATTTGAAGCCAGAGATTTGAATGTTGAAAACAATTATGAGGATATTAAGATTGAGAAAGAGAGTGAAGAAGAAAGAGCAAAAAGGAAAGAAGCAGACGGAGTAGCTGATTAAATTAGGACTCAGATGATGAACCCCTTGCAAAGTAGGACCATGTCTATGTACCTCTTACATAACCTACCAATATTCAATAGATCATGTTTTTGCAAAATGCTTATCAAACTGCCTTACTGTTTTCTGCTATTACAGTGTTTTGGGGGTTCACCTCTTCAGGGTAACCATAGTTTTGCCTTTTTCACTCTCTCAACGTATTTATTTCTCCCATCCTTATAAATTGACCACTTTTCAATCTTAGGTTTTAAAATGGCTGACTAGAGAAATATTGTCACTAATATAATTAATCAGTATAAATCAGACAGCCTTATATGACTAAAAAACCATACAACTTGACTTGCTGAAGCCAAAATGGCAAATTCGTCTATCTCTGAAGTCTGAAGAAAGACTGGACCACTGAACACCAGGAAGAATGTGCATCATCTGGGGCTGGGATCACCTGAAACCAGGCACTTCAGTGCTCCAGGATTCATTCTCCATTTTTCCCCTCAGGAGATATTTGGAAATAGTGATATCCATTTGTATCAATTATGTATGATTATTCCAATTTACTAATGAAGAATTTAAGGCAAGAGGTTTAAGTAAATTGCCAAGGTCATACAACTAGTGAGTAACAGACACAGACTAGAAGCAAGACTATCCTGACTCTAGAAACTGAACATTACCCCTCTACCTCTCTGATCGTGGCTACTCAGCTATTTCCTATTTTGCCAGTACATAAGTTATTAACGCTAGTCATAACTGAATACATTGATATAAATTTGTTAGTTATTATTGTTGTGTTTAAATAGAAATTGGTAAAAATTAGTTGACAGCTTAATGAACTTCCATGCCTTAGATATTTTTTATCTTTTTTTTTTTTTTTTTGAGATGGCGTCTCACTCTGTCACCCAGGCTAGTGTGCAGTGGTGCGATCTTGGCTCACTGCAAGCTCTGCCTCCTGGGTTCACGCCATTCTCCTGCCCCAGCCTCCCGAGTAGCTGGGACTACAGGGGCACGCCACCACGCCCGGCTAAAATCTTTTTAAAAAATAGATAAATTGCATTGAAACCCAACATCTGAAATGGAAAATAAAAATCAGTCATTGTCAATACTATATACTAAATGCTATTTATCTTTATTTACTTGCTAGAAAAAGTAATCTTGCATTACCAATATGGACTTGCAGCTAAAAATTCAGAAAATAAAATATTTAGGGGACTTTTTACAACAACAGTGACACCAATGACAACAACAAATTTCTGCTGATCTTACCCAATGTTCCATAATATTATTCTGGTAACTTCACTGTTATAGTAGAATTGGCAACACCCTAACAGTATTAACCTCCATTATTATAGCAACATAAAATATAACTTTTAAATGTTTTGAAATTAATTTTTTAAAACCTTGTCTTATTATTTATCACTAATTTGGCATACTGTAAGAGTCATTAATCTAAAAGGAAATTTTGGGTTGTCTTTTACCATTATCATTGTGTACTTTCATCAATAATACTCATTAAGTGTATAAGCTGACCTTCATTTACATTTAAATGTATTTTTATTTATAGGATTTTCCAATCTTACTGAGAACTAAGTTAACATAATGTCCTTCCTTCATGATATACAAATATATCCCAGAAAAGCATTTGTAATATACTTTGTATTTGTATTACTGAAAAGTTAGTAACATTTTCTTCTCTAGTTTTTTGTGACTCTTTAAAAATATACGCTTGTTATAGTATGTGACAGATGTTAATAGAATTTTCCAAAGGTATTTTCTATAAACTTTACACCTATTATTATGATGTAACAACTGAAAGTCATGATATCATTTAAGAAATCAAGTTTGAAGAACTAAAAAATAAATTTTAAGAGACTCTTGCGTCAAGAAAGATAGAGTTGAAGTATTTTTCCTCTATTCTTCCTGGTAAATACAAGTAAGAATCCTGGACATTATATATAAAACAAACATAAGAAGACTCTGCAAGATGGAGAAAAAAGGATCAACTAGCTAAATGTTTTAGAATCTAAGCAAGAATACAACAATAAGTTTTTAAAGTTTTCTTGTCATCTCACATATTCCAGACTGGGCACTGGAGAAGATGGCCACCTGGAAAACAAACTGGTACAAAGAAAAAGTGCCCCAGGAGAAGCTGGATGCCTTGATCCAAAGGTCTAGGAGAGGAGATGTCTAGCAAGACAGAAACTTTTAGTAACTGCTCTTCTCCAACCAAACATCACAAAAAAAAAAAACAGGGGCCCTACTCCCAACTCCAAACAACCAAGACTGAGTGTAAATGTAGCTTTTACCCTCTCTAGGCACAATGAGATACTCCAACCTCCCCGCCAGAGTGGTGTCAGAGAAGATTCAGTAGATATCCAGGACTTTTACATCCACAGGGAAAGAACAAGCCCACACATGCAAGGATGTTAAATGAGAAAACTGGACTTCCATTCTTACATTGCAGTAGAAACACCCTGTCCCACTACCAGAGTGGTGTCAAAGGAGAGCTAATAGAGAGTCAGAACTTTCACTATACTCAGCAGTAATAAAGACCATACTACCTCATGGTGTCAGTGGAAGACCCTTGAGAAGTAGTAACAAGGCATCCCTGACCCTCCTAGCCAGGCTGGTATCAGCAGAGGTTAACTGGGATGCCAGAAGTTCCACCTCCATCCAGCAGTAACCAAGAGGCCCTCCTGCAAATGAAGGCTGAGTGAGAAATTTGGATTTCCATCCCACCTGGCAGTGAAAGGCGATGTCTACCTTTCTCTTGCCAGAATGATATCAGAGGAAACCTGCTGAAACAGAACATTGAAAAAAGACACTGAGTCTTATAATAACTTAATTGTCTAGATTTCAATAGAAAAATCACTCCGTATACCAAGAAACAAGACAATTTCAACATGAATGAGAAAGGACAATCAATAGATGCAACATCAAGGTGGCATAGATATTAGAATTATCTAAGAGGGATTTTAAAGCAACCATAATAAAACATTTCAATGAGCAATACAAACATTACTGAAACAAATTTTTTAAAAGAGAAAATGTTGACGAAGAAATAGAAAGTTTCAGCAATCAAAATAAAGAAAAATAGAAGGTATTTAAAAACACAAATAAAAACTTTAAAATGGAAGAATATAATAAAGAAGACTTTAAAAATAAATTCAATGGATGGCCTCAACAATAGAATACAAAGGACAGAAGAAAGACTCATCAGGGAACTTAAGAGTGAAGCAATAGAAATTACCAAATCTGAAGATCAGAGACAAAATAAAAAAACGACAAGAAAGGCCGGGTGCGGTGGCTCACATCTGTAATCCCAGCACTTTGAGAGGCTGAGGCAGGCGGACTACGAGATTCGGAGATTGAGACCATCCTGGCTGACACGGTGAAACCTCGTCTCTACTAAAAATACAAAAAATTAGCCAGGCATGCTGGCAAGCACATGTAGTCCCAGCTACTCAGGAGGCTGAGGCAGGAGAATCGCTTGAACCTGGGAGGCGGAGGTTACAGTGAGCCAAGATTGCGCCACTGCACTCCAGCCTGGGTGACAGAGCGAGACTCCATCTCAAAAACAAAAACAAAATGACAAGAAGAATACCACCTCAGGGACCTGTGAGACTACAACAAAAGGTCTAATAGTACTGTCATCAAAGTCCAAGAAGGAGAGAGAAAGAAAAAAGAGCTGAAAATATATTCAAAGAAATAATGGCTAATAATTCTCAAATTTGGCAAAAGCCATAAACCAACAAATTCAAGAAGCAGAGTGAAAAACTAACAGGGTAAACTCAAAGAAATCACACCAAAGCCACCATCATAGTCAAACTTCTGAACAATAACAACAAAGTAAATATTTTGAAAGCAGGGAGAGAAGAGTGAGATCTTTTCTTTAGGAGGAAAGATAATTAGGATGATAACAGATTTGTCATCACAAACCATGGAGGCCAGAAGAAAGTAGCATAGAATTTTTTAAGTGCTGGAAAAAATAACTATTAATCCAAAAATCTATATCCAGTTAGAACACCCTTACAAATTAAGAGGAAATCAAGACATTTTCATTGAAGCAAAGCTAAGACAATTTGTCACTAGCAAACATATTCTAGAAGAATGGTTAAAGGAAGTTCTCCAAACAGAAGAAAAATAGATATTAGAACATCATGAAGAAAAAAAAAAACAGAAAAAGTAAAAATACATTTCCTTT
This sequence comes from Homo sapiens, assembly GCF_000001405.40. Taxonomy (NCBI): domain Eukaryota; kingdom Metazoa; phylum Chordata; class Mammalia; order Primates; family Hominidae; genus Homo; species Homo sapiens. The sequence continues at coordinate 52,712,291 of NC_000010.11, read as the reverse complement.
TCTGTTAAGGTTTCTAAATTTTGTTTAATAGTTGAAGCAATAATTATAATGCTGTTTAATGTGATTCACAATGTATGTAGAGGAAATATGTTAGACAATTATGAGTGGGAGAGGGTAAAGAAAAGTAAGATTTTCATATTTCACTTGAGTTGGTAAAATGTTGATACCAATAGGCTGTGATAAAATATGTATATACAATATCATACCTAAGACATTATAGATAAATCAAAATAAAATTCTAAAAAATGTTCAATTTAATTAACTTACAGAAAGCCATCAAAAACAAAACAGAAAAATGAAAAATAAAACAGAAGAAAAAAATAAAATGCAGATTTAAGGCCTAATATATCTATCCTTCCATTAAGTGTAAATGGTCTAAGTACACCAATTAAAAGATGGAGATTTCCGGGTGTGGTGGCTCACACCTGTAATCCCAGCACTTTGGGAGGCCAAGATGGGCAGATTACAAGGTCAGGAGTTCAAGACCAGCCTGACCAACATGGTGAAACCTGGTCTCTCCTAAAAATACAAAAAAATTATCTGGGCGTGGTGGTGTGTGCCTGTAATCCCAGCTATTCAGGAGGCTGAGGCAGGAGAATTGCTTGAACCCGGGAGGCAGAGGTTGCAGTGAGCCAAGATCACACCACTGCCATCCAATCTAGGCGACAGAGCGAGACTCCATCTAAAAACAAACAAACAAAAAAAGACAGAAGTTAACAGAATGGATTTAAAAACATGATCCAACTATGTGTGGTCTACAGGAAATTCACATCAAATATAAGGATATAAGCAAGTTGAAAGAGAGAGGATGGAAAAGATACACAATGCAAATATTAATCAAAAGATATCGGGAGGGACTAGATTAATAATGTAGACTTCAAAGTAAAGAAATTACCAGAAAGACAGGGACCTTACATAATGATAGAAAGGTCAATCTACCAAGAAGATGTATAGACCTAAATGCACCAAACATCAGAGCTATAATATACATGAAGCAAAACTGATACAACTTGAAGAGGAAATAGACAACTCCACGATTATATTTGTAGACTTCAACATTCATCAATAAACAATTGATAGAACAACTAGACAGAAATCCACAAGAATACAGAAGAACTGGACAATACCATCAACCAATAGGATTTAATTGACATTTACAGAACACCAGAATTGACATGATTTTCAAGCACCCATGAAACATATACCAAGATAGACCACATCTTGGGTCATAAAACCAACATTAACATTTTTAAAAGAATTGAAATTGTACAGAGTGAGTTATATAATTACAATGGAATAAACTAGAAATCAATAACAAGAAGAACAGGAAAATTTTTAAACTCTTGGAAAAAACAAATATTAAGAACTGAGTAAATATATTTATGTCTATTAATATTTGCTATTGCTATATTTTAAAAGATCAAATGTTATACTGTCTCTGGCTAGAATACCAGTTAATTTTTTTAAAAAAGATACTGCATTTATTCCCATATGATAAATGTATTTGTTCAAATTATTACATTAATGAGTAAATTAGATATTTTATATCCAACACCATTTTATATACATATATATATATAATATATATATATATATTGTCTGGGCATGGTGGCTCACATCTGTAATCCCAACACTTTGGGAGGCCGAGGCAGGCAGATCACTTGAGGTCAGGAGTTCGAGACCATTCTGGCCAGCATGATGAAACCCTGTCTCTACTAAAAATACAAAAATTAGCGAGGCATGGTGGCATGTGCCTGTAATCCCAGCTACTTGGAGGCTAAGACAGGAAAAATCACTTGAACCCAGCAGGCGGAGATTACAGTGAGCGGAGATGGCACCACTACGCTCCAGTCTGGGCGACATAGCAAGACTCTGTCTCAAAAAAAATTTTTTAATAATATATATAATTCTATATTTTATCTTAGTCATCTAAGTAATATACAAGGTACCTTCTATGTGTCAAGTACTACTTTAGATGTTTGGCATACATCAGTGGGAAATATAGAAAAGGGGTATCTCTGCTGTTGAGAGGCTTCCATTCCAGTGGAGACAACATGACTACTAAATAAATAAATAAATAAACAAACAAAATAATGATAGAATAGAAGGTGACAGTGATATGAAAAAAATTAAAAGAGAAGTGTAAGAGGATTTGAGAGTGCAGGGCAGTAGGGGACAGAAGTTGAGAGACAGATTACAATATTAAATAAAAGTGTTTATGGTAGACTTCACTGAAGTGGTAAAAATCTGAGCAAAAACTTGAATGATATATAAGTTAGCAAGCAGTTTATGGGAGTTCAGTGTTTCAATTAGAGGGCACAGCAACAGCCGAGTCTTTATACCAGACAAGAACATCCAGACACATAGGCGTCACAGGAAACGGGCAGCATAGATTATCTGAAACGGGCTAGAGGAAGAGAAGAAGATGAGACCAGAGGCCAGCATGGTGGTCTGTAATCCCTACACTTTGGGAAGCCAAGGCAGGTGGGTCACCTGAGGCCAGGAGTTCAAGACCAGCCTGGCCAATGTGGTGAAACTCCATCTCTACTAAAAATGTAAAAATTAGCTGGGTGTGGCAGCAGGCACCTGTAATCCCAGTTACTGGGGAGGCTGAGGCAGGAGAATTGCTTCAATCTGGGAGGTGGAGACTGCAGTGAGCCAAGATCGCACCATTTCACTCCAGCCTGGGCAACAAGAGCAAAACTTTATCTAAAAAAATAGAAGGAAGAAGAAGAAGGAGAAGGAGAAGGAGAAGGAGAAGAAGAAGAAGAAGAAACCAGGGAGGAATGGGCACTGGGACATGTAGGGCCCCACAGACCATTGAAAGGACATTGGCTCCTACTCTGAGACAAAAGAGAATCATTACAGGGTTCAGAGGCAGAGAACCAACATAATCGCAATTACAGTTTAAAAGACTCACTCTGGCAAGACCAGAAGCAGGGAGATCTGTCAGGATCTCCTGCAGTAATCCTAGCTAGAGACAATGGTGGCCTGGACCAGCATGAGGACTTGGAGGTAGTATACAATTGCTTTGTAGATTTTTGAAGAAATACTAAAACATATACGTATGAAAATATAATAAAATTACGAATTCTATGAAAAAATAAATAGTTTTATTTTGCTGTGGACAAGATGCCTAGCAATGAGCCTCCAAAACTGATTTCTAATTCTAGGTCTAATTAGCTGTGCAAAATTAAAGTCTCTACATTTCATTTAAATACCAGTTAAATGAGGATATTTTTTTCTTTTAGGGGGTCCCTAAATTTCCTTTTTAGCTTTGAGAGTTGCAGAACAGGTTATTATTCTGAGTGAGCCAAAATTAACTTTAGTCAGATTAAATGCCATTAGGCAACTCTAATTTTTTATTCTTTCATTTATTCCTTCAATATTCACTTATAGCATGTTAAATAACAATGTATGAATTATTTAGAAGTAAGGTGAGGAAAATACACAGAAAATATCTTCCTTCTTTTCACAGAACTATTAGTCTTTAAAGGTGCCCTGTTTTGAATAGAGAATTGTCTTTCTTCTTTTTTGTTGATATGTCATAAAATTATCATTTCTTTCTGGTTTGCTACTTCCATTTACAGTATTAAATATTTCTCAAAACACTGTGGTCAGTGTGAACCAGTAATGAAAGATTTAGCTGCTAAATAAAAAGGTTTTATGGTAACTAGAAGAATGTATAAAGCAATAATTTTATAATATATGACTTAGTCATGCACTCATTTCTCATGCGTCAGCTTCTAAACGTTCTGACAGTTTTCTCCATTATGTGAGATCTGTTCAATTGAAAAAGTTAATGACTGACTCAAACATAAGTAAAACTGGTCATCATTCCACAGCTATCTATTGAATGCTTATTATGGACCAGACACAGTTTTAAGCAATAAGGAAACTATACAGGTTTGTGGTCCCTGCTCTTAAGAATCTCACTGTGTGACCAGGAAGACAACACAAAATACATATCAACATAATGCATTCGATTAAGAGCTACTATGAGAGACAATGTAATTAATGAAAGTGAGCTCCATTACCTAGGTGTAACAGCATGCCATCTATGTAACCTTTCTAAGCCCCAAGATCTTCACCTGAAGATAAAAATATAGGAATTATTTTAAAGATTAAGAGTATTATGTACATGACCCATAATAAATGTTCAATAGGCACCACTTACTGTTATTATTGTTATGAAAATTATATTATTAGTGTAATAGAAGTTTAAGACTCAAAATTACCAAAAGCACAGAGGCAAGAACTCTGCCCTCTTAAATGTCTTAGACATTATGTTATCATCAGCAACAAAGCCTCAAGGAAGCAGCGTGGAATGGGAGTAAGAGCATAGGGTTGAGAATGAAGTAAAGCAGAGTTCAAATCTCAGACTTGTCATAGGTTGTGTGACTTTGGCCACTTACTAAAGTTGTCTGAACCTTAGTTTTTTTCTGTACAAATGGAGACAACCTACCTTGCAGTGCTTGGGAGAATATCTAGGAAGATAACAAATATCTACAGTGCTTAGCACAGGGCTTAGTATATGAAGGGTTTTCCATAAAAGGTGGTGTAAAGGATTATTATTAGTATAGTCATGAGTTGCATAATGCATTTTAATCAGTGACAGACTACACATACAGCAGTGGTCCCAGAAGATCGTAATACCATATTTTACTGTACCTTTTCTGATTTATATTTAAATACACAAATACAAGGCATTGTATTACAATTGCCTGCAGCATTCAGTATAGTAACATGCTATACAGTTTTTAGCCTAGAAGCAATAGGCTATACCATATCGCCTACCTGTGTAGTAGGCTATACCATCTAGGTTTGTGTAAGTATACTCTATGTCATTTGCACAACATCACCTAACAACACATTTCTCAGAATGTATCCTCATCCTTAAGCGGCAACCCATGATTGTATTATGAAAAGCAAAGCATGAATAAGGACATCAACGTTCTAATTTAAGTGATAATTCTTTCACTTGTAGGTATTACACCTTGAATCAGTTATTAAGTCTCTTTACAGGCTCGTTTGTTTTTAAAGTCTCCATTCTTATTCAACTTCAGTAGCACTGAGAGTCTTACTATAGGCCTTGCTTAACTTAGGAAGGAAAGGACACTTTTAAGAAGAAAATGGGCAGAACAAACTCCCTGCATCTTCTCCATTATCGGCATAGACGACTTCTTTTGAAAATATCATATAGAGTTTTACCTTTTTCATTTTAAAGCTGGAAGTCATAAATCTTATCATCTGCCTCCATGTTAAAATACCAGCATTGTCACAGTGCCACCATCCTGGGAGGGAGGGTCCCTTGGGTTATTGCAAAACTAGAGGGTTATGATGTACAGTTTAAGCTAATGAAGGTAGGCTTCCAGTCAGGATGTGGAGTCACTCCCTGCGGTGAGGCCGTTAAATAGCCAGGAATGAGACATGTCTATAATTAGAGAAGCATTAGGCGTTAGTGATCCCAGTGACCAGGGAGCCTGTGCCCAATGGCCTAGTCAGACTGGCTGGCTACCCACCCAAAGCTATTTCCTCCATCATTCAAAGTCAGAAGCAATGTAATGAGGGGTGGACTAACAAATTCCATGAGCTGAAACTATCCATTCAAAAAAATAAATAAGGTTTCTGAAAAATAGGCTTGAGCATTTCATATGCTTAGAGAAAAACAAAAGCAAAAACAAAAGCATGGTATCCACTAAAGCAGCAGATTGAGAAAAATGTACCTCAGAACTATGAGTAGCAAACCACAGACTATTATCACATCATTGTTCTGAATCATTTCTATGGTCTGAAAATAAAAGCCAAGAAAACTGCAACAAGTCATTACGTTTCTCTGGAATATATATTTATTTAAAATGCAGTAAGTGTTCCTTGTCAGGGATCCCAGTATAATCAGCAAGGCTTATAGGCCTAGAATATTTTGAAAATGTGGGCTGTGAGAAAGGTGGCAGAAATGCTAGTCTACCTTCATTGTTTCACAGATGAGGGAATCAAAGCTGAGGAGAAATAGAAGGAAAATTAATGTAACCATATCTATTAATTAAAATGCATTGCGTGGTGGCTGACGCCTGTAATCCCTACTCTTTGGGAGGCTGATGCAGGTGGATCACTTGAGGCCAGGAGTTCGTGACCAGCCTGGCCAACGTGGTGAAACCCTATCTCTACTAAAAATACAAAAATTAGCCAGGAGTGGTGGCCTGCACCTGTACTCTCGGCTACTCAGGAGGCTGAGGTGGGAGAATCGTTTGAACTTGGGAGGAGGAGGTTGCAGTGAGCCAAGATCATGCCACTGCACTCCAGCCTGGGCAATAGAGTGAGACCCTGTATCAAAAAAAAAAAAAAAAAAAAAGCATTACGTGCTTTTTAAAACTTCACTCAATTTTCATTTTTGGCCTTATTTAATCTTCAGTCCAATCTAATGAAACAGTGATTATTACTTAACATTGTATTCCCAAGAAAACTAAGTAACAGAGGGGATGAGTAAATTTGAAGTGCCGTGTTTGAAACCATTTGCCTCCAGGTGCTGTTTTCCTTATAACGACATATTCCATGCCTTGTCTAATATCTCATCACTACCAATATCGTTAGAAACAATAATAGGATCTAGATTCTATTTTATCAGGCCTTGTATTCCTTTTAGCAGGTGATGCCGCAGACCTACAAGTTCTGAATACATTTATGTGCATTCATTTGCTTGTAGTTGTGAAAATTCAGACATTAAAAAAGAAAATTCCCTGAAAGAATTGAGTTTATCTCAAACCTGTCCACTGAATACTCTAGTAATATACCTATTGATTCATTCATACATTTTATCTGTTTTGTTTATTGCTTTATCTCTATTGCCTAGAACAGTACCTGGAACATAGCAGGTCTTTACTAAATTTTTGTTAAAATGAATGAGTTTATGATGTTTCTGCAACGTCCTGCTACACACTGCTCCAGGGGCTAGGGCAATGGTGAAGAAATACAAGGTTCTTGCAATATTAACCATTTTTTTTTTTCTTTTTTCTTTGAGATGGAGTCTCGCTCTGTCACCCAGGCTGGAGTGCAGTGGCGTGATCTCAGCTCACTGCAAGCTCCACCTCCCGGGTTCATGCCATTCTCCTGCCTCAGCCTCCTGAGTAGCTGGGACTACAGGTGCCCACCACCACGCCCGGCTAATTTTTTTGTATTTTTTTAGTAGAGACGGGGTTTCACCGTGTTAGCCAGGATGGTCTTGATCTCCTGACCTCGTGATCTGCCCGCCTCGGCCTCCCAAAGTTCTGGGATTACAGGCGTGAGCCACCACACCCTGCCTTTGTATTAGCTGTTTTAAGGCCCTGGACTAAAGTATTTTTAATGACTTCAGTTTAAATTTACATGTACCAGTGCTGAAAACTATAGAGGAGAGTGCATATAGTCCATAGCAGAAAGTACTTAGAGTTTGATAAAGAGATGAAAGAGAAAGAAGGAGAGCAAAGACTTCAACTAGTCTACCAAATATTTCTCAGATGTCCACTCATTTATTCTTAATATGTTCACTGAGTCCAATGAGACACACAATATGTGTTCTCTGATTTCTTGCAAATCACTTCTTAATTACTAAAGACTAGTGGTTTCTATATTTATCAATATTGTCCTCTATGTCCTTGATGTATTATCACTATTGTTCATAATTTTAAAATTAATTTAGATTTATAACTAACCAGAGTTTACCTAGATGAGCTGCACACACAAAAAAATTATTTTCAAGATCTATTATAATGTGGGGGCTATCCACACAAATAAAGTAAATTGGAGAATTGTTCAACTTATGACTTTGGCAACTATAGCCAGACAAGCCAGGTAACTCAGGCTAATTATTTGTACAGCTTTTTGCTAAATCTAAGTGTGCATTTAACAGAATAATCCACATCAAATTCCTCTTTTCTCCAGAGGAGCATAGCCTTTTCCCATTTATTTTTATGTTTTCAGTTGTTGCTTGTAACTATGACCTCATGTTCCTGTTGATTCAATTCCAAAAGTCCTGCTTCATTAGATTACAAAAAAAAAAAAAAAAGCACCTTCAAATATTTAGACTAACGCATCCTGTGTATTACCAGTCTGGTTGTCAATTATGGTGAATTTCATATGAGGAAACAGTGATCAGCCGTAAAACCACAGAAAATGGAGTCCCCCACCCCCAGTCTCTCTTTAAATGGGTGGAGTTTCCTTGGGGCAGTCTTAATGGCCTTGTCAGCCCGTCTTCCTAATCACTGATGCTTGCTGATACAGCGCACCAAATCACAATTTATTTCACAGTCTTGTTCTATCAGAAAGAAAGAACTTTTGATTTACTGCTAATTAGAATAGGCATGTTTCCCCAGAAACAGGCAAGTTTGAGGGATGATGTAACCAAAACCAGGTTTTTGTGATAAGTCAGAAAGATTTAATGTGATAGAAAAGGCATTATTTTCTCTGTGAAATACACAATATCGTTTCTGTATCAGACGGGAAAGACTGAAAATACTGAAGTCAGTTTTCTTACATTTGAAAGACAGACAGGAAATTTTTTCAGAATGCTAAATCAATCCAGAAGGTATGTATAAAAAATTGTCGGTTTCTGACTCATTGACAAACAGATAGTAAATAAACAGGTATAGAATTTCTATCACTATTCAGAAAGTGTGTTTGCCTGTTTGGCTGGGAATTGAATCAGAAATTACAAGTTAGTTACAAATAGTGATTCATTTGAGAAAAAGGAAAAAAAAAAGTCATAAAATGTGAATTGTGTAGTTCCCAAACATAAGCATTTTGGTATGGACCACAAAGAGAGCAACTCAACAACCTTGCAACTGTCTAAGTATAAAAGGCAAAAATTCTGTGGTTAAAAAATGCTTTCAGTCATTGTATTTATATCACTCAAAATTCCCAAGGTTACAGGTTGCTGTTTTTAGATATCCTCAATTTCAGTGCTACCAATTTTATCTGAAGATTTGGTTTATTTGGGGGCCAGGGGGTAGTTTGGGGAGAGGATATTATATTCCAATAGTTTTACTCAGAAAACAAATGCAAGTATGTCTGAAGCTCACTCTAATATACATTAGAGGAATGGTGCAGTAGTGTTTCAAAAATCTGTATCTATTGGTATTATAGGCTCAAGGAAAAAATCCCCTGTGTATTTTGAGAAATGACAGTGAAATGTATATTTCTCACAAACACATCAATAAATTCCCCAGTAAATAAAGTGAACTTGGACTGGTCCAACTAATAGACCAGCCTTGAGACCCAGGGCAATTATGAAAATTGTACCTGAAGCCCTCAAAATTCTGCTTTACTTTTTAAAAACTGAATCTATTCCAGAGTATACCACTCAGGGGCCTTTAATTAATTCAGTCTGTAAGATTTAATAGTCAGGTCTCAAGCCTGTATTCCACAATGTATCCATTTGCAAAAGGCTACTGAGCATTTACTTTGTTCAGAATCCTTTTATATAAGTATATGACATAGCCTCTGGAAGTTAAAAAAAAAAAAAAAAACTATGTGACTATAAGCTTTGTTTGCTTGTTTTGGTTTCCTGCTTTAAAAATACTGAACTAAACAGCCACACAGTATAGCTAGTCATTAAGCTATATACACATATATAATTATATATATATTTTTTTATTTACTGAAAAAGCCTATTTTAATATAAAATACATATATTTTATTTACTAAAAACTATTTTATTATAAAATACGTCTTTTTTAATTACTGAAAGAGGCTATTTTTAATAGATTAGAAGACAGTTGAGATTTGTTTCAATACAGACAGAAAACAATTTTTATTTAGGGCTACCTTTTCTCTGAGAGAATACATGTAACATGCAGAAGTATATAACTTGCTAAATAAGATGGAAAAAATCTCTGACATTGAGATTTTCTAGTCTCAAACTTTTCCACCAAAATACCCATAATTGGTACCTAGAATAGAAGAAGCTTCTGCTCCTGAAGTGTCTGATTGTTTAGCCTAAAACCAGACACTCAAAATTTAATGTTTTTGAAGGCTCATATTTTTAAAACTGTGTATGGATTTTACATACTATTCAAATATTATTTTTGTTTTTTCTTATTTTCCACCAACTAATGGAGTAAAATTGATAGTCAATGAAGATGCACCAACATGATGGGCCTTCTGGCCTAGAATAAAATAAAATAGCTCTTAAAAGTATGTACATCCCAATTGTAAAGCAACTCATTAAAGGGAGTACCCTTAGACTAGTATAACTTTTTTTTCATAAAAAGTATGTACTTTATTAAACTAAGACTATTTTTACAGCATTTATGAAGGAAAAAATAGTAGTTTGGACTGGCTTTTTTAAGATCAACCCCAGGCTAGAAACTGAAGGGCTCCAAGTTGTAACTAAACCCACACTTGTTATATGACCTTGAACAAGCCAAGCAGGCTGTGGCCATGATTATGTATACAAACCGCCTACATGGGGTGTCAAGAGAAGGTCAGTGTGTTTACTCCAGCTGTTTTTGTTATACATGCGGAATGCCACACAGTTGTTCTGGGTATGGCAGTCAGAGTGGATGCCAGCACAACTGTAATGAATAGACTGCCAGAAACAGGCTGATTATATAGACTAAATGCAGAGTCAAAACAATTAAGAGAATGAATCAAGTAAACCAACATCTTTGTACAAAGATTGTGTAGTCTGAATGAACTATACTATTGATCAGATAATCAAAGTAATTGTTAAAAATCTCAATATAGATTATCTTACATATACGACATTCCTGGCAACTAACACGTATTTTTAAAATTAAAACAATACATGATAGCAAAGTCTAGAACACAGGACTCCATTAATAAACTTCAAGTTTTCAACAAATTCATATTCAAAAGGAAATGAAATTTTAAAAAGCCAGAAGACCTTAAAAATTATTGTAAAGAAATAGCCATGTGTTGGCAAAATCTGGTTTGTAGTAATGTATAATTTTCATGTAAGATCTGAATTTTTAAAGGAAAAGTATACAAACTTATTCATGTATTTACTTAGGATGATAAATTAATTTATCTTATTTACTTTGTTTCATCCTATATTTCAATACATTTTAGTTTGGCCCAAAAACATGATGCAAGTCAAAAATTCCTGTGGAAAACCAGTTTATTAAATCCAGAAATTTTAATCACACCTAATGATAATTACTGCACACAGCTATTGACCCTTTTTAAAGTCCTGAGGTCTGAGATTAAATCTTCATAATGTCAAATAAATAGTAGGATTGGTAGGATTACCTGGCTCAATGAAGGAAAATAATTCAGTCAAAATAATTTATTTGTAATTTCATTTTTCTGTTGTAGTAATATCATAAAATCCTGATTGAGATATATGGGAACTATGAAAATTTATACTGACATACATTATTCAAACTGGAAGATACTTTAATGAAATCTAATATAAACAAAATATAAAATTAGTAAGTGAAAATTCTTAGGAAAATACATAAGGTCATATAGTATTCATCTTTATTAACATAATCTTAAAATTTTTTCTTTCTCACTATAGTATTAAAAGGATGTATATCTGGATTTTTTGAATAACTTTTTTCAAAGTTAATATTTCTAGTGAATATTAGAGATAATTAGAACCTTGGTTTTTCATATTCTTTTTTCACCCTTTATCATTATTGTAAATTTTATAGGAATGATTTTTATTGTATATACTTAAGGCATACAATATGTTTTGATATACATATAGCTAGTGAAATGATTACTATAGTTAAGCATATTAACATATCCATTACCTAACACAGTCACGTATTATGGTTTATATGTGTGAGCATGTGTTAATAGCACCTAAAATCTATTCTTTTAGCAAATTTTTAATATACAATATTATTTAATATTCTTTATACATTATTTAAAAATGTAGACTAAGGGTAGTATATATATTAATACATAATATTATTATTATATATATGTGTATATGTAACTATATTGTGTATTACATATACATAGGATGGTCATACAATTTATCATAAAACCAGGACCCTTTCAATGATGATGGATGCTATTTTACATTGCAACATCAAGCATAAACTGGGTTTGTCTTGAGCTAACAGATACTTGTTTATCTTAGAAACAATCATAGTAACTTCATTCATAGACACTAAGGGAGGGAGTTATTAGCTTGCTTCATAATCACAAAATACGTCATATTTCACAACCTAAAATAGAATCAGTGTTCTGTATCTGCATGGGTTCTGCATCTGCAGACTCAACCAATTTTTTGAAATAATACAACAATAAAATAATACAAATAAAAAAGCAATACAGTACAACAACTATTTACATAATATTTATATGGTATTATGTATTTTAAGTAACCTAAAGATTATTTAAAGTGTACAGTAGAATATGAGTAAGTTATATGCAAATATTATGCCTTATTTTATGAGACTTGAGCATTTCACGATTTTGGTATTTGCAAGGGGTTCTGAAATTGATCCCCTGTGGATTCAAAGGGAAGACTATACACTATCAGCCTTATCTCATTAACAGGACAGAGTGTATCCCAGGCATCAAATGTGAGGTAGATGTATACATGTGATGTGATTGGATTTAGAGGACATAGAGCAATTTGAGTTAATGAAATTAAAGTTGAGAGTCTAAGAATAGGGAAAGACCAAGAGAAGTAAACTGATTCATAACAGCTTTGTTAAATTTTTAAATCATAGGACAGAGTTCTTGGAACAATTTTTAACAGAAGTTTCCACTAAAATAGAATTAAAACCATAAATTAATTCTATAGAATCAATTATGGTTATCTAAATCTACTACTTTTCAATAGATTTGGATTCATGTCTTAGCATAATGTATATTTTTCATTTTCTAAATGACAAACTGGAACTTTTTTATTAGATTATGAATCTTATCAGAAAAATTCTACAAAGTAATTTTACTTATTATTTATATGACACCTTAACCCCAACATTGTCATGATTACTATATTTGTCAAAAGGGTAACAAGAATAAAAATTTTCTCACTTCTTCTCTCATTTAACAAATATTCATCACAGTGATTCTCAGACAGCAGAAATAAGAATCACCTGGAGAGCTTGTCAAAACAGACTGTGGGTGCCCATCCCCAGAGTTTCAAATTTAGTAGGACTGTGGCAGAGCCCAAGAATTGACATTTCTAACACATTTCTTAAAAGCTTCCAGGTTATTCTGAAGTTTCTGGGTACCACACTTTGTGAACCAGCAATATATCGAACATGCATTATTTGCCAAGTGCTATATGCTGGAAGTACAGCAGCAAACAGCAAAACAGACACAAATTCCTCCTCTCATGGACTTTATGTAGTGAAGGGAGATAGATAATAAATATATAGTTAAAATATACACCATGTAAGACAATGATAAGTACTGTGAAGAAAAGCAAAACAGGAAAAGGGACATATGATGAAGCAGTGAGAGTTATATGATGAAGAAGATGAAGCCTTACTCAGAAGAGAAAATTTAAAGACCTTAAATAGCTGGAGTTTGAGTCAAAGATATCTGGAGGAACAGTAAGTTCAAATGCCCTAAGCCTGGAGAACACCTGCCAAGTTTAAAGAACATAAGGAAGATCAGGATGGCTGAATGGATAGGAAGAGTGGAAGAAAACAAGACAGAGGCAATGGGAGAACCAGCTTAGATGAGGCTTTAGAGGCCATTGAGAGGTGTTTGGCTTTTATTGTGAGAGACGGGGAATCCATGGGTGAATTTTTAGCAGAGAAAGGGCATTAGCTGATCTGCATTTTTAAAGAAACTTCAGGGTTACTAGGCTGATAGTAAGAGACTTGAGTTCAAGAAATACGTGTAGACTGAATATATAAATTTGTGTACCATCAACATATTGATGTTATGTAAAGCTGTGAAATTTACGAGCTCCCCAGAGGAATGAGTGTGACTTGAGAAGAGAAATTGTCCAAGAACTGGCCCTGGGGAAACTGAACTTTAAAGGTCATGATAAAATAAGATATCAGCAAAAAGCTGTGAAGGAGCAGCCATAAAGTAAGATGAAAATCAGCAGAGAGTGGCAATCTGGAAGCCAAATGAAGAAAGTGGGTCACTGGGAAGGTGTTCATCAGCTGCTGATAGATGGAGTATGATGAGTAATGAAAATTAAGTTTTCACATAAACAACATGGATGACAATGGTGGTGTTGACAAGAGCTGTTTCAGCGAAGTAGTGGAGATGAAAAGCTCAGCTGGGGTGCTTCCATGTGAGGATGGGAGAAGAGCTGTTAGAGAGAGAGTGAGCACACGCAACTCATTTGAGGGGTTTTACTTTTGAAGAAAGAAAACATGTGGGTGACAGCTGGAGTAGAATGTGAGACCAGAAGAGGGTTTTTGCTTTTCTAAGATGAGAGAAAGTATTGAAACTGTTGAGACTGATGGTTAATATTAACGTAGAAAAATTGAAGATGCAGAGAAACAATGGATAATACTAGAGTAATATACTTCAGGAAGAGGGAAGGGCTGTGACCTGCCCAGGCAGGCTTGAGGTTATATTGAAAAATGGACTGTTCATCCATGGTACTATGAAGGATGGCAGAGTATATGGGTACAGATTCAGACGAATGTGTAAATGAGGTGGTGAGTGTAAGGTCATCAACCTAGAAAGAGAATAACAAAGAGGTGTCTGAGATCTAAGGGGAGATGGGGATGTTTAAATATTTCCCAATTAAGAAAGAGAAAGGGAAAGAGAGAGTGGGTGACCTGAGAAATGTAGTAGGATTGCTAGTAGTACTAATGCAATCAATCTGATATTTTAAAATCATTATTTTACTTAAAATCCTCTGGGGTTTTTTCCAAGTATTTGTAGAGCTACTAACCAGAGCAATATGAAGATCCTAAGGTCTCCCTTATTCAAAATTTGCACAAAAAATTAAATTCATTTGTTGGACCTGTCAATGAATCTACTCAAACATAAATGTACTAAGCTGGATTTCAGGATAATTTGGGCTAAAATATGCTAGTGCATTCTTGCCTTTTGAAATGTAACATAATGAAGTGCTAAATATACTATTATTACAGTGTTCCAGCTGACAGAGAGACAATGACCACAACAAGAAATCCAGAAGTTCCAGGACATAAAATAGAATTATGCTCTTCTATCTCATGGAAGAATTCTATATTTCACATTCAATGTTGTGTTATATAAATCAATTACAGTTATAGAATACATTTCTATTCATTAGAAACTAGCAAAATCTCATTTATTTAAAAAAATTCTTCTCAAATGTCACCTCCCCTATGAAGCCTTCCCTGGCCACAGCCTAAAAAGAATTACTGTTTCCCCCTCTGAGAGAGTACTGTATATGTACATACCACCTATATTACCATCATTACTCAATATTGTGATTAGTTATTTATTTGTATAATTTCTTATTAAGGATGAGCTCCTTAAGGACAGGGACAGTGTCTTATATATTATCGTGTAGTGCGGCATGCTGTGCTTAGGAAATGTCTAGTAAATATTTCTTGAACTTAATGTTTTCTGGAGGCAACAAATTTTGTTACAAATTTAAAATCATATTGTGTATTTTGATCATATATGTTATAAATTAAGATAATTTATCAAAAGCTAAAAATATGTTTAATTTAGAACTGATATGAAAAATAAGAAAAGGTATAAAAATATTTTAAAATCTCTTACAATCCCACCCTTGGTATAACCCCTTTCACTACTTTAATTTACTTCTTTCCAGTTCTATTTTTAAATATAAACTTTCTTTTTTGATTTGAAATTATTTTATATAGCTTTATGTCATGCTTTTTCTTTAAAGAATATAAATATATTTATAAATAACTATTTCCTGCATTGTTACATAATCTTTAAGAATATACTATTTATTTATTTATTTATTTATTTATTTATTTAGAGATCTAGTCTCACTCTGTCACCCAGGCTGGAATGCAGTGCTACGATCTGGGCTCACTGTAACCTCCACCTCCTGGGTTCAAGCGATTCCGGTGCCTCTGCCTTCCAAGTAGTTGGGACTATAAGTGTGCACCACCACGCCCGGCTAATTTTTTTATGTTTAGTACAGACGGGGTTTCACCATTGTTGTCCAGGCTGGTCTTGAACTGCTGACCTCAAGTGATCCGCCCGCCTCGGCTTCCCAAAGTGCTGGGATTACAGGTGTGAACCACTGCGCTCGGCCAAGAATATACTTTCTAATGGCTGCATAATATTGTTATTCCTCTTTTGGAATTTAACTATCCCTTATTTATACATTTATATTATTCTGACTTGGGAGATAATGTAACAATGAACACCTTTGTATAAAAATATTTACTCTTATCCCTATTATTTCAACAGGATAAATGCACTTAGGATTTGACACATTCATAACCAGTGACTCAAATATTCAAGGCTTATTCTAGGAGGGTCAGAGTCATAGAATGTTACCCAAAGTTTCTAAAATTTTTTGTCCACAGAACATACTGAATCTGGGCTGGGTATGGTGGCTCACAACTGTAATCCCAGCACTTTGGGAGGCCGAGGTAGGCAGATCACTTGAGGTCAGGAGTTCAAGACCATCCCGGCCAACATGGTGGAACTCCGTCTCAACTAAAAATACAAAAATTAGCCAGGCGTGGTGGCGTGTACCTATAATCCCAGCTACTCGGGAGGCTGAAGCAGGAGAATCAATTGAACCCAGGAGGTGGAGGTTGCAGTGAGCCAAGATGTCACCATCGCACTCCAGCCTAGGTAACCGAGTGAGACGCCATCTCAAAAAAAAAAAAAAAAACAAAACCCATATGTCGATCCTTGGAGAACTATGTCTAACTACTTCCCAGTAGAGATGAGAAAAACATCCCATAATATTAAAAAATAAAAACAAAAAAATACTCTCATTATGTCCACACAAAATCTATATTAGAATTAGTTATTTCACAATAAAGAATGTTATGGGTAAGTTTACCATTTATGATGGTCCTGGGTAAGAGGAAAATGGAGGTCCCTCTACCAAGTCAACTCTGCTTTTGAGGAGGCCCAAGATCATCTCAGTGCCAAAGCATGGCTTTCTTTTTTTTTGAGACAGAGTCTCTCTCTGTCACCCAGGCTGGAGTGTAGTGGTGCGATCTCGGCGCACTGCAACCTCCGACTCCCTGGTTCAAGCGATTCTCCTGCCTCAGCCTTCTGAGTAGCTGGGACTACAGGTGCCCGCCACCACACCTAGCTAATTTTTGTATTTTTAGTAGAGACAGGGTTTCACCATGTTGGCCAGGATGGTCTTGATCTCCTGACCACATGATCCACCTTCCTTGGCATCCCAAAGTGCTGGGATTACAGGCGTGAGTCACCGGGCCGGGCCAAAGTGGGGCTTTTTAATGAACAAGACCAAAACAGGAGCCACTCTTGTCAGTGTATAAGCATGGTACTGTTTATAAAACTTCAGAGGAAAGAGAAACCACTGTGGTTAACTGCTATCTGAGAAAGCTTCATAGAAGAGGTGAACTGGGCATTGAAAAATAACCAAAAAATTATAGTTTATAAAGGAAGAGAAAATGGTCATATTATCTGTGCTAGGCAGAATAATTCCCCACTCCACCTCCCAGTGATCATGCCTTAACCTTCAGAATCTGTGAATATGTTACCTTTCAAGGCAAAGGTAAATTAGGGAGCAGATGGAATAAATTGATGCTAAATAGCTAATGTGAAAATAGAGAGATTATTTTGGATAGTCTGTGTGAACCCAGTGTAATCAAAAGGTCCTTGAATGTGGAAGGGTGAGGCAGAATAGTCAGAGTGCTGCAACGTGAGGAAGACTCAATCAGCCATTTCTGGATTTGAAGCTAGAAGGGGCCACGAGCTTAAAAATGCAGGCAGGCTCTGGAAGCTGGATTCAGATTATCCTGTTGGGCCTCCAGGAGGAGAGCAGTCCTGCCAACACCTTGATGTTAACACAGTGAGGCATAAGTCAACTTGTAGCCTCCAGGACTGTAAGATAATACATTTGTGATGTTTTAAGCTACAGAATTTTTGGAAATTTATTACAGCAACAATAAAAAATAATACAACATTCATGAAGAACAGAGCTGTACTACAAAGACACAAAATGAGAATGCACTGAGACAGGAGAGAAACATAAAGATTGGAGATTCATGCTAATGAATAGTGGGAGACAAGTTAAGGAAGGCAGATTATGGCTAGAGGGGAGGAAATTATGAATGTCTTTCAAAATAATTTGAATTTCATCCTGTACATGATAGAGAGCATTTGAGCAGGATAGTGACATAATAAAAAGAATACATTTTAGCAAAATTAATCTGGTGATATTATGCAAAGCAGATTGAATGGAGAGAAAGCAGTTTAGGTTTCATAATAATCCAAGAATGAAGTGATGTGAGTCTGGACTATGCTGTCAGCTTAAATGGAAATGGAAGCTCAGGCACGAGGAAGGTTTAAAGGAAAATCCATTTTCATATTTTTTCCTGTATCTAGATCATTTTATGGAATTACTCGAATTCCAAATTGTCAATTGAGTGCTGATGACATAGATAAATTATGAGAACTCAAGTAGTCCAGTTAAAGCTTTCACAAGGAAACACATACCCTCTTTTAAATTCCGTACAGTTCAACACTGAAGGATTTAAAAGAGATTGATGTTCTCTTTTGTTTTACCCTGTAAATCCAAATGATTGAAATTTGTTATTCTCTGTAGAGAATAAATGTGAAACAAACTGACTACCAAGAATGTCATTCCATCTAGCAAGAATGTCATTCCGTGTACTTAAACATATAATTTACTCCAGGCAATAGGAAACATTTTTTTTCCAGTAACTAGTTTAGATTCTGCCTTCACACACAAAATATTTTTCAAAAGAAAGAAAAATAATACAACATTTAATTCTGTTTTCAAAAGAGCCCTTGATAAAGTGAAACTGAACATCCATTTATTTTCCTAGTATTTCTTTATGGTTGATATTGCTTAAGTCAGTAAAATAAATAACTACAAAAATGTATCTATTCCCCCTTGAGAGAGAGAGAGAGAGAGAGAGAGAGAGAGGGAGAGAGAGTGTTTGTAAGTTATTCACATACATATATTAGGTCTACTTTATTTATAATGTAAATATTGCATGAGATCCCTTGGGTGTCAACTTGTAAAAAATAATGTATTTTTCTTTTTTTTTTTTTGTTTTGAGATGGAGTCTCACTCTGTCGCCCAGGCTTTTTCTTAAGTGCCCTTTCTTATATTCAAATTCCACCCATTATTCCATTTATTTCTTTAATGGAGATTTTTTTCCTTATTGTCTGGATATAGTGGTTGCCCAGTTAGATTTTAATGAATGGTTGGAAAGATGGGTCAATTGATAAATAAAATAGAATATCAGGGTGAAGTGTTTACATTATGTAAGGACTTTGCTATATACTGCCAAAATGCTTTCGAAAAGGAGGTTTTATCTCCCTAGTACAGTACTCATTCTAGCTCTCCTTCACCTGTCCTGATTAATATTTCCTTTACTAATTTTTTGTGAATTTGATACATCCATCCACTAAATAAAAGTAAGATTAAGGCCGGGCATGGTGGCTCATGCCTATAATCCCAGCACTTTGGGAGGCCGAGGCGGGCGGATCACCTGAGGTTGGGAGTTTTAGGCCAGCTTGACCAACATGGAGAAACTCCGTCTCTACTAAAAATACAAAATTAGCCAGGCATGGTGGCACATGCCTGTAATCCCAACTTCTCGGGAGGCTGAGGCAGGAGAATCACTTGAACCTGGGAGGCAGAGGTTATGGTGAGCTGAGATCGCGCCATTGCACTCCAGCCTGATGAAACTCATTTTTTTTTTAAAAGTAAGATTAAATATCTCCTATATGTATTAAATCTGTGTATTTTATCTTTGATGAGTGGTCTGTTTATTTCTTTGGTCCATTTATCTGGAGAGTTGGATAGTTATTGAATAATTTGTACACTGTTTGTAACTAAAACTATTGCAAAAAATATTTTCTTCAGCTTGTTACTTGTACTTTAGAGTAATTGATTTTAACATGCAAACATTTTACATTTTTAGGTATTCAACATCTTATATTTATATATACTCAGAAATTTTACCCAGACACATTTTACCTCACTCTTCTCTTCATGTGACACAGCCTGTTAACCATTATTGATAGCTCTCAATAGACCCAGCTCCGGTCCATACATGGCCTTTGCATATATGATATACCCTTTTCAGAAGTTTTCTCCTATCACATCTTCCTGCCTGCCCATCCAAACTGTTTGCCCCCTGTACTGCCCTCATAGCTTCATGTCTCAGCTCCAATGTGTTGGATACAGTGAGTTCTAGATTTTTCTTCAAAGAATCACTATGTCAGTATTTTCAGTTCTTTGTCCTCCATTTTAAAGTTTAACTTCCTCGTAGTTTTAAACAACATTTTCCATCAGTTTTAATAAGTAGTTCACATCTGTTCCCCTGGTCACCTGCTCCATCCTGACTCATTCCTGTCACCTGCTTTGACCTGAATCACCCCTGGTCACCTGCTCTGACCTAAGTCACTTTTAGTTACCTGTTCCATAACCGTCTTTCCCACCAAACTGCTCACCCTGCCACTGTGGCTCATACCCATGCTCTCTTTAATATAGCCAATCGGAATTAGCTTAGACTGTGCAGTCCAACCTTAGCCAATAGGAGAACAACACAGCAGTAGGGGCTACCTGCGTCAGGGATAAGAACCCCTTCCCCTCCCT
The DNA here is from genome assembly GCF_000001405.40 of Homo sapiens. Taxonomy (NCBI): domain Eukaryota; kingdom Metazoa; phylum Chordata; class Mammalia; order Primates; family Hominidae; genus Homo; species Homo sapiens. The sequence goes on along the minus strand of NC_000010.11, from coordinate 52,691,593 downwards.
TGTTCAGGTGTGCTCTTGCCATTGCTCCATTTATAAGTCACACTCTTCTATAGAAGTAAAAATTGCCTTGCTGAGAAAATTAATGTTTGAGTGCTATTTCTTCGTGGCATCAAGGAATAAGCATTTTGTTTCTAACAAATGTCACTTCCTCAAGGATGTCTTCCATGATCCTAATGTCAAAAGTCAGGTATCCTGGTCAAACCTCTTCAGAGTACCAAGTAGTAATTAGATAGCCATTAAAGTAGATATGGCTTAATGTCTGTTTGGGCTAATGGCTGTGTCTTTACAGCAAAAACTGGTCCTCTGTCACTCACCATCATACCTATAATGCCTTAATATGATGCCTGGCAAATAAGAGACTCAGTGTAAATATTTGTTATATTATTTTTTTGCATTCAGAATTAGAGAGCCTTATTTAAACAAGAGGTGACATCAATTCTATTGTATGTTTTATTGTTGTATTTCTTTCCATTTAATTATCATTTCATCTGGGTTTGAGATACGTGATATGTAATATAAACCTATTTATTGATATGTAAACCAAAAATAAAATTTTAAGCTCTCCAACCAATTGAACAGATCCCTCCACTTGACCAACCACATTCCCAAGTTAGCCTGAAAAGTTAGTTCAGGCCATGATGGGAAGTGGGGGTTGGACATGCCTCATCATACTGTCTTCCCTTTGGAATTCAAGCACAGCTGACCAAGATTTAACATTAAAACAGAAACCTTAAGGCTGACAAAGCTGATGCTTTGTAGCAGTAAGATACCAACATGACAGATAGAAGTCCCTAAAAGAAACCCAAGAATTTTTCCCCAAAATATATTTCTTTCACATATTTTGAAATGGTCCTGCAAAGCTCTCTCTTGTGGGGAAAAACTACATTCTGTAGATAATTCTTTTGCCTTTCCAGGTCTTTATTCTGATCCAGGAGAGAACTAACTGAGTCTAGTAACTTTTTTAAGTCTGATAAGAATCATTTACAATTTATTGTAAATTGCTACTTAGAGTCTTCAACTACATAATAAAAACCCTGATTTCCCCAATCCCTTATCTTAACCCAGACACTCCCTTTTCTCCCTTCTATTGATTCCAGGTCTTTTGATAAACTCTTACAACCAATTGCCAATTGGGAAATCTTTGAACCCACCTAGGACCTGGAGCTCCCCCTCACCCCCTTTTTTTAAGTCATCCTGCCTTCCCAGACTGAACCAATGTACATCTTACAAGTACTGATTGATGTCTATGTTTCCTTAAAATGTATAAAACCAAGCTGTACCCTGACCACCTTGGGTACATGTTCTCAGGACCTCCTGAGGCTGTGTCACAGACATGTCCTCAACCTTGGCGAAATAAACTTCTAAATTGATTGAGACCTGTCTCAGATACTTTTTGGTTTACAAATGCCTTCTAATACATTTATATATCTAAATATCTGAATGATAAAGCAATTCTTTCCTTATTTAAGACTCATTTAGGTCTGAGCACAGTGGTTCATGCCTGTAATCCCAGCACTTTGGGATGCCAAGGCAGGCGGATCACCTGAGGTCAGGAGTTCGAGACCAGCCTGGCCAACATGGGGAAACCCCATCTCTACTAAAAATACAAAAATAAGCCAGGCATGGTGACACATGTCTGTAATCCCAGCTACTCAGGAGGCTGAGGCAGGAGAATTGCTCGAACCTGGGAGGCGGACGTTGCAGTGAGCTAAGATTGTGCCACTGCACTCCAGCCTGGGCGACAGAGTGAGACTTCGTCTCAAAAAAAAAAAAAAAAAAAAAAAAAAGACTCATTTAGGAATAGTGTAGCTCTTTTTTTCAGTTTGTCACTGGAAGTGAAACAAAATTCACTCTAAGTGAAGTCAGGCTAGTTGGACTTAAGCCCTGGCGGCTCCACTGATTAATTATGTGCAATCTGGAAGAAGATGCATTATTTCTATGCCTCAGCTTTCTTATCTTTATGCTTTTTTGTTTGTTTTTTTTTTTTTTTTTTTGAGATGGAGTCTCACTCTGTCGCCCAGGCTGGAGTGCAGTGGCAGGATCTCCACTCACTGCAACCTCTGCCTCCCAGGTTCAAGCGATTCTCCTGTCTCAGCCTCCTGAGTAGCTGGGATTACAGGCACATGCCACCAGGCCTGGCTAATTTTTATTTTTTTGTACTTTTAGTAGAGATGTGGTTTTACCATGTTGACCAGGCTGGTCTTGAACTCCTGACTTCATGATCCGCCCTCCTTGGCCTCCCAAAGTGCTGGGATTACAGGCGTGAGCCACCCTGTCCGGCCAGCTTTCTTATCTTTAAGAAGGACATAATAATAGCACTTCCTACAGAGGTTATTGTTAGTGTAACCACCCAAGAGGTTTACCACGCCCATTGGCTAGACAGAGCTGATTCCTCAAGACAGGGGAATTGCAATAGAGAACAAGTAATTCACGCAGAGCCGGCCGTGGGGGAGACCGGGGTTTTATTATTACTCAAATCAGTCTACCCAAGCATTCGAGGAGCAGAGATTTTAAAGGTAACTTAGTGGGTGGGGATAAGCCAGTGAGCCAGGAGTGCTGACTGGTAAGGGATGAAATCATAGGGAGTTAAAGCTCTCTTCTTGTGCTGAGTCAGTTCCTGGGTGGAGGCCACAAGATCAGATGAGCCAGTTTATTGATCTGGGTGGGGCCAGCTGATCCATCAAGTGCAGGATCTGCAAAATAACTCAAGCACTGATTTTAAGAGCAGTTTAGAGAGGGTCAGAATCTTGTAGCCTCCAGCTGCATGACTCCTAAACCATAATTTCTAATCCTGTGGCTACCGTTAATTTCACAAAGGCAATCTAGTCCTCAGGCAAGAAGGAGGTCCGCTTTGGGAAAGGGCTGTTACTGTCTTTGTTTCAACTATAAACTACAAAATTTCTCCCAAAGTAAGTTCAGCCTATACCCAAGCATGAACAAGGACAGCTTGGAGGTTAGAAGCAAGATGGAGTCGGTTAAGTTAGATCTCTTTCACTGACTCAGTCATAATTTTGCAAAGGCAATTTCATTAGGGTTACATGTGCTAATACATGTAAAATGCTTAAACTTAGATGTCTGGCACATAGAGATGATATAGTAAATTGTAATAATAAAACATTTTTATCAAATATTTTCCTTAAAAAACATTCAAAATCTTATGGAATGGTATTAAGTTTAAAAATTTGCAATGACTTCATGTGTTTATAATATGAATCTTTCCATCAGGATCTCATTTATTCACTATTTAATCATGTCTTTCACAGTGCCTCTCAGCACATGCTCCTCAGATAGAATCTGTCACTGCCCCTGCAATACACACTTTTTTTCTAACGCTTATTTGCAAGTATTTTATATTTGTGATGCTATTGGAAATGGTATATGTCTTATTTACTTATTTATTTTGAGACAGGGTCTCACTCTGTCACCTAGGCTAGAGTGCAGTGGCGTGATCAAAGCTCACTGCAGCCTTAACCTCTTAGGCTCAAGCAGTCTTCCTGCCTCAGCCTCCCAAGCAGCTGGGACCACAGGCATGCACCACCATACCTGGCTAATTTTTAAAATTTTTGTAGAGATGGTGTCTTGCTGTGTTGCCTAGGCTCAACTCAAATTCCTGCCTCGGCCTTCCAAACTCCTGGGATTACTGGTGTAAGCCGTGGTACCCAGATGGAAATTGCACATATTTCTAATACTTTCTAAATAGTTAAAAGCAAATGTTAAGTTATTGAGGTTTTTAGATTTATCTTTCAGGTAATGACTTTATTTAATTTGATTAAGACTTTCTATTTGTTCCCTGGATAATTTAGGGGTACAAATATACATATTTTCTGAAAACAAGGGTCATCACATATGTCACTCCATTTGTTTTACTTCTTACTTTTGCTTCATGTGACATAATCTATTGGTTTGAAGTATTAGTACACTTTTTGGTAAAATTCATCTCTAGAGAAGCTAGTTCTGTGGAATGTTAATATGAGCTTTGAAGATAATAGGCAGCACAAGTCTGAAAATGGACATGAGACATGTTTTTTTTTTGCACAAAATTACACCACTAGAACTGGGACCAGAAATTGAATCTTGATTCTTAAATAATTGTGTCATGACAATATGCTACAAATGATCAATTAAAATGAAACAACAATGATGAAAGAGGTAAACTGTGTAAAACATTACAAAGAATATAAGTAGCCTACTTAGAGAAGTCTTCCTTCCCAAGGCTAGTTTCACTTACACCCAGGAATGAACAAAGACAGTTTAGGGGTTAGAAGGAAGGTGGGGTCGGTTAGGTCTGATCTCCTTCACTGACATAATTTCCTCAGTTATAATTTTGCAAAGGGGGTTTCAACAAGGTCTCTCCCTTGACAGGTGGGGATTACAATTTGAGATGGGATTTGAGTGGGGACACAAAGCCAAACCACATCAGGCAGGAAATTACAAAAGAACCCAAGGATTCAGGCACAAAAGGATAGCCATCATTTATAGAGCATGTATTATCTTCTAAGCATTTCAAGTACATTGTTTTTGCTAATCTTATAACAAACAGTCTATGAAGAAGTCTCTGTTATCTTCATTTTATATATAAGAAGACTGAAACCTTCAGGGGTTGAATAAGTTGCCCAAGGTCCCAAGTGATAATTTGCATAGTCAAATCAGATCCAATTCTTTTTTTGTTTGTTTTTTTGAGACAGAGTCTCGCTCTGTTGTCCAGGCTGGAGAGCAGTAGCATGATCTCAGTTCACTGCAACCTTTGCCTCCCAGGTTCAAGCAATTCTTGTGCCTCTGACTTCCATGTAGCTGGGACTGCAAGCATGCACCATGACCCCTGGCTAATTTTTTTTTAATACTTTAAATTCTGGGATACACGTGCAGAATGTGCAGGTTTGTTACATATGTATACTCATGCCATGGTGATTTGCTGTACCCATCAGCCCATCATCTACATTAGGTATTTCTCCTAATGCTATCCCTCCCCTAGCCTCCCACCCCACTACAGGCCCTGGTGTGTGATGTTCCCCTCCCTGTGTCCATCTGTCCTCATTGTACTCCCACTTATGAGTGAGAACATGAGGTGTTTGGTTTTCTGTTCCTGTGTTAGTTTGCTGAGAATGATGGTTTCTAGCTTCATCCATGTCCCTGCAAAGGACATAAACTAATTCTTTTTTATGGCTGCAAAGTATTCCATGGTGTACCTGTGCCACATTTTCTTTAGCCAGTCTATCATTGATGGATGTTTGGGTTGGTTCCAAGTCTTTGCTATTGTGAACAGTGCCACAGTAAACATACGTGTGCATGTGTCTTTATAGCAGAATGATTTATAATCCTTTGGGTGTATACCCAATAATGGGATTGCTGGGTCAAATAGTATTTCTGCTTCTAGATCCTTGAGGAATCACCGCATTGTCTTCCACAATGGTTGAACTAATATGCACTCCCACCAACAGTGTAAAAGCATTCTTATTTCTCCACATCCTCTCCAGCATCTGTTGTTTCCTGACTTTTTAATGATTGACATTCTAACTGGCATGAGATGGTATCTCATTGTGGTTTTGGTTTGCATTTCTCTAATGACGAGTGATGATGAGCTTTTTTCCATATGTTTGTTGGCCACATAAATATCTTCTTTTGAGAAGTGTCTGTTCATATCCTTACCCACTCTTTGATGGGGTTTTTTTTTCTTGTAAATTTGTTTAAGTTCTCTTATAGATTCTGGATATTAGTCCTTTGTCAGATGGATATATTGCAAAAATTTTCTCTCATTCTGTAGGTTGCCTGTTCACTCTGATGATAGTTTCTTTTGCTGTGCAGAAGCTCTTTATACTACAAGGCTACAGTAACCAAAACAGCATGGTACTTGTGCCAAAACAGATATATAGATCAATGGAACAGAAGAGGCCTCAGAAATAATACTACACATCTACAACCATCTGATCTTTGACAAACCTGACAGAAACAAGAAATGGGGAAAGGGTTCCCTATTTAATAAATGGTGCTGGGAAAACAGGCTAGCCATATGCAGAAAACTGAAACTGGGCCCCTTCCTTTTACCTTATACAAAAATCAACTCAAGATGGAGTAAAGTCTTAAATGTAAGACTTAAAGTCATAAAAACGCTAGAAGAAAACCTAGGCAATACCATTCACGACATAGGCATGGGCAAAGACTTCATGACTAAAACACCAGAAGCAATGGTAATTTTTGTATTTTCAGTAGAGACGGGGTTTCACCATGTTGGCCAGGCTGGTCTCTAACTCCTGACCTTGTGATCTGCCCACTTCGGTCTCCCAAAGTGCTGGGATTACAGGTGTGAGCCACCACGCCCAGCTGAGATTCAATTCTGTCTGACCACAAACTGCATGCTCTTAACCCTTATGCCTATGTTAATAGCTACCCCAGTGAGTATGAACCACAAGGGACATGATTGGTTAAAAAAAAAAAAAAATCCCGGAAGGTGAGTTTGAAAAGGAAATCTCAGAAGAAATTGTAAATGGTCATGTGTGCAAGGTTAAAAAATGTAAACTTTTTATTCTCTGGGAAGTAACAAAAAGAGTAACAGTAGTACAGTTCAGATTATGAGCGTTTATGGAGTGCTTATTAAATACCACATACTCTACCGAACAGAGGTGGGACCAGGGTGAAGCAATAGATGCTCTTAGGACACAGAACTGAAGGCTGTATTCACCTTCAGGGCTACATGGTCCTGTACTGAGTGCTTTACACATAAGTAATATTAAATGCAAGTCTCATTGTCTAGAAGTTTTACCAGAAGCACTACAGGATAAGAACAATGCAGTAGGTAGTGAAACCGCCTTTGCAAAAATTATAACTGAGGAAATTATGACAGTGAAAGAGATTAGATCTAACTGACTCCATTTGGCTTCTAACATTTAAGCTATCCTTGTTCATTTCTGGTGTAGGCCGAACTAACCTTGGGAAGGAATTTAGTTTATGGTTTGACTCTGAAACAAAATTAAAAATAACCTTTTCCTGAAAAGACTTCTTTCTTGCCTGGGGACAAGTCGGCCTTTGGAGGACTAACAAATTAGCTACAAGTTTAGAAATTACAGTTTAGGGGTCATGCAACCTCTGACTGCAAAAGTCTGAACGTCCCCAAATTGCTCCTGGGGATAACATCACTATTGTAAAATCTAGGCTCAGTGCTTGAGATATTTGCAGACCCTACATTGGATGGATCAGCTGACACCACCCGGACTAGTAATCTGGCTCAATCAGTTCTGCCATCCCACTCAGGAACAGAAGACAGCAAGAAAACCTCACTTTGATTCCATCTCCAACCTGACCAATCAGCACTCCCCACGTCCGGAGCACTTACCTGCCAAATCTTTAAAACCTCCAGTCCTCAAATGCTTGGGGAGACTGATTTGAGTAATAACAAAACTCCAGTCTCCCACACAGCAGGCTCTGCATGAATTACTCTTTCTCCATTGTAATTGGCCTGTCTTGATAAATCAGCTCTGTCTAGGCAGCCAGCAAGGTGAACCCATTGGGCAGTTACAGTAGCAAGTATTCCTACACCTTCAAGCAAGATGCTATCTGGACAAAGTAAGATATGGTGAAAGCTGTCCTGCCCCCAGTTATGACTGCTCACCTCAAGCCTATTCAACAAGCTGAAGAGGCTATGGGGAGATTCTTTTGAAGCCCGTGCTGCAGTAGTCTCTTCTGGCATTCCATTCTCCACTGGGAGATGAAGAAGCACTTTTTCCTACCTTAGACTATTTGAGAAGGGATTAAGACATTTAGGATAATATGTGCCTCTAGAGGTTAGTGCGCAGTGATTGGCTAGATTTCCTAAGGCAGCAGAACAGAGAGAAATACAAGTTGCACTTCCACTGATGACAAGCTAGATAAACAGACTTTTTGGAAAATTTTTACAGAACATGGAAATAATGCAAAAGGAAGACTGGACATCATTTCAATGTTATATACTAGAATATTATTTAATTATCTTAAGAGAGTGTTTGCCATTAGGATCCAGAGCCTATGAAATTACGTATTTACCTGCAGATTCTTATCCAGTAGAGATGCAAATCATTTCTGTCTACTAGAAAAGACAGTCCCCAAAGTTATAGTTTTATTGATCTTTAGGACTTTTATCAGTTTTATATGTAACCTATCAAATATTTTCTAACATTTTTCTTCAGTACCTATACATACTTTGTTTCCCAAATACCTTTTGAACTGGGTTTACTATCCTGCTGGTTCCCTTATAAATGAGTCAAATAAATCTTTCACATATGCTCACTGTATACTGGTGTAAGAGTCATGTTTATAACTTTCTTAAAATTCTATTTCTACAGGCTACTCTTCCCAAAGATTAAAAAAAAAAAAAAGTGGGTTGGGGGGTGGGGGCGCAAATAAGAAACAGGCCCCCTGGACCTTCTTGAAAGGGATCCTACTCAGGAAGGCCGTTGGAGGGGCCAAGTGATTTTTCAGAAGGATGACTTGGAAAACTGAATAAGAGAGAACTTGAAGTTACTAGCCTTAGAAGACATTCCCTAAATCAATGGAAGTGCAACTGGAAGGTTCTTGGAGAGAAATGTCTGAGAAATGTGCAATAAAATCTTATGGAAAAACCAGTTTGACATCTTACAAGCTTGTAAGATTCGATTGCACATTCCTCAGTGATATGACCAGCCATGTGACAACAGTACTTGTCACTATGCCAGTTTTACCTTGTTTCTCTCTCCCCTCTAGGAAAAATTCAGAGATTAGAAACCATGGTTAGCTAGTGGGTGTGAAGAATAAATTTAAGGAATAGAAAAGCAAACCATCCATACATCTTGGGGGAATGCTAAATAGAATCTTTAAATTTGCATTAAGTTTGAAGTTAAATACTTCATTACACTGGAGTACATCTTAATTACAAAATGAGATTTGTATTTTCTTGTGATTAAAATAAAGCAGAGAAATAGTCCAGTCTACCCAAATGTATTCCAAGTATAGAGAAAACAGTAGTACTATTCCAAAGGAGTTTTAAGCACAATGGGAAAAGGAATAGAGTTGCTTTATGATTAGTGTCTATTGAGTTCTGAGGTTTTGTTGTTGTCATTGTTTTCATATACTGACTGATTTTTTATAACAATTTGTTTCTTAAGGAAACTGTATGAACTAGGTAGTGACCATTGCCTTTGTTTGGCTAGCAAGACCCTGTAACTGACAACCACATTCTGGCCACAAGAATGGGTATATAATTTAGACATCATGCCCCATACTCTTGACCACAGTGATTGAGTTGGGAATGGGCAAGTAGCCCAAGTTAGGCCAAAATCTGCGATCACTCCTAGATTTTTTCCTTGCTGCATCTGATAGATAGATCAATTTCTCTCCAGTGTTGATGCTAACGGGTTGCAAATCCAAAGATGTCTATGCCCTATTGCCTTTCACATGGAGAAAGCCCTGCTGCAGTAGGAGAGAATGAAACCAACACACAAAAAGTAACAGAAACAAGATAAAGTCCTGAGGAGGATCCAGGTGTAGGATCCCATCTTTGCTGACACTAACTTTGCTTTCCCATGTTCAAGTTCTATAATTCAATAAATTTTTGAGTAATCCAGTTAGATCTGGATTTTTGGTAAATGTATCAAAAATGTTTACTATTACAATATAATAATGTATATTTAGAAGATAATGAGGTTGAAAGATTAACTATTTTCCTCAAGGACATACATGTAGTAAGTGGCAAAGAGTGAACTAGAATCCAGATCTTTCTGACTGTGTTGTCTTTGATCTTAACAAATAACTGTATTGTGAAAGCTCAAGGACAGCACTGAAGTTTTATAAATGGGAGAGACATTTCAGTGGGATGGGAGTTTAAAAGTAGTTGAGGCCGGGCGCGGTGGCTCACGCCTGTAATCCCAGCACTTTGGGAGGCCGAGGCGGGCAGATCACGAGGTCAGGAGATCGAGACCATCCTGGCTAACACGGTGAAACCCCGTCTCTACTAAAAATACAAAAAATTAGCCGGGCGTAGTGGCGGGCGCCTGTAGTCCCAGCTACTCGGGAGGCTGAGGCAGGAGAATGGCGTGAACCCGGGAGGCGGAGCTTGCAGTGAGCCGAGATCGCGCCACTGCACTCCAGCCTGGGCGACAGAGCGAGACTCCGTCTCAAAAAAAAAAAAAAAAAAAAAAAAAAAAGTAGTTGAGTGTGCTCTTCCCCTCCTCTTTTGTTTTGTTTTGTTTGTTTCTGAGACGGAGTCTCGCTCTGTCGCCCAGGCTGGAGTGCAGTGGCGCGATCTCGGCTCACTGCAAGCTCCGCCTCCCGGGTTCACGCCATTCTCCTGCCTCAGCCTCCGGAGTAGCTGGGACTACAGGCGCCCGCCACCAAACCTGGTTAATTTTTTGTATTTTTTAGTAGAGACGGGGTTTCACCGTGTTAGCCAGGATGGTCTCGATCTCCTGACCTCGTAATTCGCGCGCCTCGGCCTCCCAAAGTGCTGGGATTACAGGCGTGAGCCAACGCGCCCGGCCTGTTTTCTTTTATTTATTTAGTTTTTCAGCCCCCTGTCCTCTCTTACCTTTCAGAACAACTTCATCCTAATGCCTATGTCTAACTTGGTCAGAGCAAGTTAGGGAATTGACTCAGGGTTGTTGAAACACAATCAGGAGAAAGAGAACATGTACATTGAAGCTCCCCTGCATGAGGAGTTAGAGCTGACGGGGTGAAGAGTGTATAGTAAAAGGATTTAAACAGACCTCAGTTTCTCTTGTTTCAAACCTTGCCTTCCTTATTTGCTGTTTTTCTCCTCTTTCCCTCCACCCTCCATCTTTTTTTTCTTTCCCTCCACCCCCGCCTGCGAACCTTAAAAAACTGCAAATATTGTAAAAACAGCTCTTGAAAGAACTGTTCTGACAGTTGCCAGGAGGGAAATGAAACAATGATCCAGAACAAGAGGCATGAAAACCAGAACAATCTCAGACCTTTAAACTGAAAGTTTTACAACAGTTAAAGATGAATGTAACTTCAATCTGGGCCAGACCAAAAGTACACATATACCTCTCCTCTCCTCACCCCATAGAACTCCAATCCTGCTTCAGTTAGGGAAGTTACCTGATTTTCAAGTCATTCCTGATGTGCACGAGCTGGATAAATACTTTAATCTCAATTCGATTCACTTAAACTACTTTTTTCCTTTGACAGTATCCATATGGAAAATGGAGTCATGACCCAGTTTAGCATGTCAGAACCTGGAAAGGGTGAGAGAGGGCAGCATGGTGTGAGGCATCTGAGTTTGAGTGGTATATGGAGGGCATCTTTGCAGAGCTAGGGATCTAATTTGTGATTAAGGCTCCTGAAGGCTGCAAAGAAAAGGGACTTTTACTAATTTTGTGTTGCTGTAGCCCCTAGCATCTAAACAGTGCCTGGTACATAGTAGACAGACACAAAGTAAGTGTTGTTTAATGAATTAATTAATAAGTAAAGCATCTGAGAGATAGTTTCAGAAGATAAATGAAAAATAACATTCATTCTAGCACAGCTGATACTCTGTTTTTAAACAAGGGGAACACATTTTTGTTTTATTAAGTTGCTGGAGATTGGTTTTACTTGATTAGAGGGCTCTGCTGATTCATGAATGCTAATCCTAGGTATCCAAAATCCCACTTTAAAGAAATACTTAGCACCACAACAATAAGACAAAAGCCTATGTAAAGTAAACATTCCAGAGGCCTTCAGAGGTTAAAGAGGAATCTGGAAATAATTATCCTATTGCTAAAAAATAAATAACATATGGAAAATGTAAGCAGTGGGAGAGGACTTCCTCTTCATAAGCAGAACTTCATTCTTTGTTTTAAATTGGCAAAATAATATTTAATTGAAATATTCTACAAAGTATAAGAGTAATAAAATTATTGCTCAGTATTTAATATTATTTTTATATTCCTTTTTATTATTTCAATTGTTCACTAAGATATTCAATGATAGTATTTAATATTATTTTATATTTCATTTCTTATAATTGAAAATTGTTCACATTGTATATTAAATGATTGAATTTCATCTATAGAAAAATAAATTAGAATATATATTTTTGGATGAGGGGTAATAGGTGATATATGTGTTTATAACATATATATGGCCATTGATATTATATGGTAGATATAGACACACAGATACATATGTATATATCCTATCACACCAGTCAAGAAGAAAACTGGATTTATTCTACAGTCTCATTTTGTTCTCTGTCTCTATTTTGTATTACTTTCTATGCTTTTTGAAGGTGTCTAGACTATCGCCACTTCCTCCCTTCGTCTTCCTCCCACAGCAGTCTGGTTTCTGTCTGTACCACCCCACTGAAACCACTTTCACCCAGAAACTGTCCTCTTGGTCGTTAAATCAGAAGAGAATTTTTGGTTCTTAACTGACCTGGCTGCTAAAAGCATTTAGCACTACTGTCCACTTCCTGAAACTCTCTACGCTCGTGATACACTCTTGAAGTACACGCCACACTACTTTCTTTCTATATTTCTTCCTAATTATTTGACCATACCTTCTCAGTCCTTTTTCCCTCCTTCATTATCTTTCACAGTTGTTGATGTTAAGATTTATTCATCTACTCACCCAAATGAGAACACTAGGCATCATCCTTGACCCCTCACTTTCCTTCTGCCCTTATAGCCAACCAATTCTAAATATATCTTCACTCTTTGTCCTCACATCCTTTCCCACTGTTGCTATCTTAGTAAACGCCTCATTATCTCTCACCAAGTGATTGCAAGAACTTCTAATTAGTTTCCCTCTTTCCTGCCAGACTCCCCATATTCCATCCATCATGATTGTCAGCAGTCTGATGGTATCGAGTCACTCCCCATTAAAAACCTTTCAATGGTTTCCCATTAATTGCAAGATAAAGCCCAAGCTCTTTAGAATAACTGTCATACCAGATTTCCCTTTATAAAATCTGGACGTGGCCTGCCTCTTTAGTCTCACGTGCCACGCTTTGGTATCAAACTCCCTCTAGTTTCCCACATTCATCCTGCTATTCCATGTGCCTATGGATGTGCACAGGTCAGTCCTTCTGCCACCTCTGCCAGACAATCCCTTTTCCCCGCAAACTTGCAGCTCTTAGTCATGCTTCACTAAATTGGTTTTCTATATTCTTTTCAACTTACTCTAATAATCTGTTCCCATAGCTTTTATATCTTCAGCTCAAAACACTCTTCTGAATTTTAGAATACTGTGTATTCAGCTTCTTACTGGACATCACTGGATCCTTCATATGCCTAAAACTTACTCATTATTCTTCTCCCCAAACTTACTCCTGTCTTCATTACTCAGGTTAGTGATGCCATCTAATTGCTTTCTGCAGATAGCCAAAACCCTTCTTTGTCTCTTCCTCTTTCCTACTTCTACATGTCCAATTTCTTTTCAGTACTGTTGATTCTACCATTAAAACAAAAGTTAAACTGATTCACTCACAAGCATCTACACTGCTGGTACCCTGAGACAAAACTGCATGATTCTTGACCAGTTCAATATTCTACTTGGTTACTTCTGTTTCTCTTATCACGACTACCTCAATCCATTATCTTACCTCCTGAAGGCAGAATTATATTTCTAGCCTGAAAATTTGAACACATTATATCCCTCCTCAAAAGCCTTTCAGTGGTTCCTTATGGTCAACAAATGGTATCTAAATTCATGTGCATGATCTTCAAGAGTTTCCTCATAAATTCCTCGACTTACTTTATTGCTCTACTGAAAAGATAGAAATGCTTAGATATTTGCTCCTTAGCTTCAGAAATGTATACATATTAACCAGGCTTTAGAAAGTTAAATCTTCAAAATTGCTTAGTGACTATCACATTTGTTTCTGTGAGATGAATTTGTAATGGCATGAAACTTTTTAAAAAGTGAGACTATAATATAATAGGGCTTAAAATTTAGCCTTAGACAAAGAAAAGCTAGCAAATGGTCATCAGCCTTCCACAAAATAGAAACAAAAATTAAGACCTCATAAAAATAGCTTGATAACTAAATAGCTATTGATAAATTTCTTTAGAAAAAACATTCACCTCTTTGGAATGTAATTCACAATGTAAAAAAGACTAGAATTGGGTGTTATTTTTCAGATGGTTGTAAATTATTCCCCCAAAGTGAAAAAAAATTAAAATAGTACAGAGGTTTTGTTTTTTGTTTTTAAACTAACTCAAAGCTCTTGAATTTTAAGAGTTAAATTCTGTCTTCTTCTGCATTATCCTGCCTTCACAGAACATCATTTGAAACAAATTGATATTTTTGAATGTTGGCAATACTCCAGGGACAACATTACCAGCAATGAGTTTTCTTCCAAAAATCCAGAGAATGCAATGTGAGCTTAATCTAGGATCTGTTAATTATATGTTTGTAAAGCACTCTGTTGGTGTTTTTTTTCCTCATGTATTTTTAACGCAAATGTATACACTCTACTGACTGTGGTACAACCACAGTCCTACCCTGTAAACTTCATGAGAATTTACCTCATGCATTTATTGGTTCAGCATTCAACAAATATTTACTGAATGCTTGCATGAGGCAGACTTGATTCCTACTTTCGTGAAGCTTACATTCTAATAGATAGTATTTATTGAGTACTTACCATAAGTCAGTCACTGTGCTAAATGTTCTGATCGCATCATCTCATTTTAAACTTTGATTTCACCATAATGAAGTCACCATTTATCATTATTATTGTTATTATTTTACAGGAAATACAACAAGCTTAGAAAGATGAATACCTGACCATAATTTTTATGAAGGCAGCAATGAGTCTAGGTCAACACCCAGAAATAGTCTTTCTTGCTATAGTGTTGGCCACATACACAGTATTGATCCATACATGGTAAGCAAACATTTTTAGGTGAGATTTCTGAATAAACTGCTTTAAAAGGACATGGTTTAGCTGGCAGAGAAGGCTTCTGTCCTTTGGGCACCCTTTTTCTGTCTGTTACCCAGGACTAATATTGAACATGAGGAAAAACACCAAAGAAATCGCAAACATAGCTATGGCAGTTCAGACTGCCTACCTCTGGATGTTGTGTCATGTGAGAAAAATAAAAAGAATAATAAAAAATTCTATCTTATTTAAGTTATTGCACTGGTTTTTCTATTACATGCAGCCAAACCCATCTTCGACTAACACCTTCAATGATCCATTCTCCGCATAGTAGCTTGAGTGATCTTTCAAAATGGGCATCATTTTAAAATGCAGCTCCTACTGCAGTATGGTTTCCCATCACACTGGAAAGAAATCCAAATTTTCCTAGGCTAATAAAGCCCAACGTGAACTAGATCCACCTGCCTTTCTGAGCTTATCACTCTCTTCTCTTCTTTGCCTCCTACCATCCAGCAGGTTCAGCTTTTTTTTCTGTTCCTAGAACATGACAAGCCAACTCTTCCAGTCCTCAAAACTACCTATTGCTCAGAAAGCTCTAGGTTGTGTGCTTCTCTGTTTGGTTGGATCCTCCTGGTCACTCTGATATTAGCTTCTTGTCACCACTTCAGAGAGGTCTCTCCTAACCACCTATTCTAAGGTAGCTACCAGTAATTCACTATCACAATATCCTAGCTTAGCTATTTTCATAACGCTCAATACCATATATCTTCCATTTATTTTTTCATTAAATTGTGTATTGTCATCTATATTACCTATCTCATTTCTACCCACATAAAAACTCCATTACAGCAGGTATCTTGTCTGTTTTGTTCTCCATGACATCAGCACCTAAATAATGCCTAGCACATAACAGAAACTCAATAAATATTTGTTACATGAATGGATGGTTATATTAGTCTGTTCTCACACTGCTGTAAAGAACTGCCTGAGTCTGGGTAATTCATAAAGAAAAGAGGTTTAGTTGACTCACAGTTCTGTAGGCTGTACAGGAAGCACAACTGGGGAGACTCAAGGAAATTTACAATCATGGAGGAAAGCAATGGGGAAGCGACATGTTGGAGCAGGAGAGAGAGTGAAGGGGGATGTGCTACACACTTTTAAACAACCAGATCTCATGAGAACCCTCTCACTATCACAAGAACAGCAAAGGAGAAATCTTGCTGATCCAGTCACCTCCCACCAGGTCCCTCCCCCACCATTGGGAAATACAATTCAACATGAGATTTGGGTAAGAACACAAAGCCAAACCATATCAGACGGCATTTTAAAACCTCCCCCAAATATAAAACATTATCTAATGAATTCACTATATTTATCTCATGCAGGTTATATTATTTGAGCTATTAAAATAACATATTTAAGTGTATAAAAAGTGATATCCATCTTTTCCTTTCTTTGATTGTCTTTACTTCTGGCCATGTTGCCGTCAGAATAATTAGGATAAGATCAATTAGATCTAGGCCAATAGTAACTCAGAAATGAAAGACAAATTGGTGTTGGACACATTAGAAAACACTTTTAAAGGACCTTTAACATATTGTTATAGTAAGAATTTTCACATTCTTATCTAACTTAAATGTACTTTCCAATTAATACTGTAATGTTTAGGTGACTAATGAGAAAAATATAATTAAAATTTTTGCTTTTAAGATTTCCTGCAAAGTGACTTGGGTTGAATGGGGATATGCACTACATTATGTTTACCATGAGGAGCTTGCTGAGAAGACAGGCACAGGTCCAGAGTCTGAATTATTCCACCCTTTGTGTTGCTTCTCCTTGATTACTTCTTGATGTAGTTAGGTGGCATAACCTGGCAGGTAACAGCTCAGGCTCTAGGTCCAAACTACCTGAGTTTGGATTCAGGTTCTAAAATTTACCAGTTATATGGTCTCAAGTATATTATGCAACTTCTCTGTGCTTCTTCAATTTCCCTATCTGCAATATATACAAATAATATTTACCTCATAGGTTGTTTGATGATCTAAGGAGTCAATACAGGAAAAGCTCTTGGAACAATGCCCAGCATTAGTAAGCACTATATAACTATAATAAGTTAGTCCATTCTCACACTGCAATAAAGAACCACCTGAGACTGGGTAATTTATGAAAAAAAAAAAAAAAGAAAGAAAACAGGTTTAATTGACTCACAGTTCCACAGGCTTAACAGGAAGCAAGACTGGTAGGACTCAGGAAACTTACAATCATGGCAGAAGGTGAAGAAGAAGTAAGCACATCTTACCATGGTGAAGCAGGAGAGAGACAGAACAAGGAGGCAACTGCCACACACTTTTAAACCACCACATCCCATGAGAACTCGCTCACTATCACGAGAACAGCATGGGGCAAACTGCCCCCATGATCCAATCACCAGCCACTGGGTCCCTCCCCTGACACATGGGGATTACAATATGAAACGAGTTTTGGGTGGGGACACAGAGCCAAACCATATCAGCACTCAATACATATTGTCATTTATAATCTTAGGTAACCATAACTATGAATGAAACATACTGAGATAAAATATTGTAAAGCAAGTGCTTTCTCAGTTTAAATTGGGGAGAAAAGAACTAATGCAGTGGGTCTGTGACCTAGTCCCTTCCTGATTACCATGATAATATCCCTGACATAAGAAAGAAGTTGGGTGACCAGTTTTATCTTCTTGGAACATGATAATTGGATCTCTGGGAAAATAGCCTGAGGATATATGCTAGAAGGAGTATTCTTATATATCGGATGCTCTTAACAGTATGTCCCTGGTTTAGGATTGCTTATGGTGTGAGACATGGCTCCCAAGAGAAAACCATGTAATCTGCACAGCTTTCTTGCATGTATAATAGAAATGTTTTATAATCTAAATGCTCTCCAATATATAAGCAACCCGTGTATACTTAGAGACTTCCTATATTATTCTGGGCCAAGGAATATGTGCTGATCTGAGAGGGAAGACCAAGTAACCACACAGGGTGTCCCAGACTTTTCCTTGCTTTTTATATGACTCACAATTACACATTTCCATGAAATTCTTAGGAAAGCTCAATACTGATAAGATCTTTAATTGATCTGAGTATGATTCAAATTTCCAATCCTTTCACTCAAAATTGAAAGAAAATTTCAAACTTTGTCTATTAAGACAAGAAAGCATTCTAGAATACTTTCAGTTGTGTCAGATTCACATTGGAACGCACTCACTATCACAAGGACTACTTACATTGTATTCTATGTGGATGCCACCCTCTGCAACGTAATTCCAGACATGGTTCTATGCACAGGCTCAATTTCTTACCAATATTTCCAAGCCAAAATTCAGGACATACAGAAGTGTCTCTGGAGGTAGGTAAACATCAAAAAGCCAGTTACATTCTTCCAAAACTTCCTATTCTTGCATTTAATATAACCTAGTTCAAATTATCTGGTCATTGTCAAGTTTTTGTCCACTCAAAAATATCACTGTAAATTATAGCATCTAATTATTTTACTATTGGTTGCTAACCACAAGTAACTCACATTTTGTTGTTGTAATGTACTACATCAATAACAGCCTCATTTTGTTACCAGGCAAAAAGAGCTGTGGGGGCCCATGTGTTTAGAGGTTCAATTATGTGTTTAGAGGTTCAATTATGCCTGCTTCAATATGCTCGTCATCTGATTCATCCATTTGTCAGTCACAGAGGCATTTTTACCAGTTCAGAGCAAGGTGAAGTTGTAGGTTATTGGACTTTTCATAAAATAGCAGAGTTTTGTTGATTTTAAGTAACTATCTGGTAACTGCCTGGTTCAATAGCTTTTACATATGAAATATCCCCAAATAAAACTTCCTATGAAACAAAACAAAAATACTGAAAATGCTTCCATATAACTTACAGTTTTTACAAACAATACTACTTTCAGTAATGGAAAAAATACTTCCATGTTTTATATTTTCAATAATTTATTTTTTTCTTTTTTTGAGACGGAGTCTCACTGTCGCCCAGGCTGGGGTGCAGGGGCGCCTTCTCGGCTCATTGCAACCTCCGCCTCCCAGCTTCAAGTGATTACCCTGATTTAGCTTCCTGAGTAGCTGGGATTACAGGCGTATGCCACCACGCCTGGCTAATTTTTGTATTTTTAGTAAAGATGGGGTTTCACCACATTGGCCAGGCTGGTCTCAAATTCCTGACCT
The DNA here is from genome assembly GCF_000001405.40 of Homo sapiens. Lineage (NCBI taxonomy): Eukaryota > Metazoa > Chordata > Mammalia > Primates > Hominidae > Homo > Homo sapiens. The sequence continues at coordinate 52,672,547 of NC_000010.11, read as the reverse complement.
CAGGTAATCGGCCCGCCTCGGCCTCACAAAGTGCTGGGATTACAGGCGTGAGCCACCATGCCCGGCCTCAAGAATTTGTATGTATGTTCAGAGAGGCATGTTTTGCAGTGCCAAATATTCACTATTGATCTTACTTACCTTGAGGGAAGGAGCAATTGCTCTGACTCTGACAGAAGGAGAGGAACATAGTTCGCAGATTTGTTGATATAAAAATATTACATTTTAATCTTTATGTTAAATCACACTATATGAATTCCTAATGAATCCTCTCTATAGAAAATAATTAGAGAGTGCCCCATATAATCCAACACAGACCAGTGCCTGAACAAGTATTAGTACCTTCCTTGTATTATAGGCAACATCAGATCTTGAAAACTCAACACAGTTGAAGGTTCATATTGTTTAATCTTCCTGATGTCCAACAGAATTTCTCTAGTGCCCTATGGAAGCCCCCATTTTCAAAACTCTAAATGGCTTAGCCTATTTTTACTTCTATAAAGGAAGATTTGAGGCAGTTTATAAACAAAACAGGGTTTTGTTTTTGTTTTTGTTTTTGTTTTTGTTTTGGCTCACAGTTTTGCAGACTGTACTCAAAGCATTGCACCAGCATATGCTTCTGGTAAGGGCCTTAGAAAGCTTCCAATCATGGCAGAAGGCAAAGAGGGAGCAGGCATGTCACAGTGATAGGTGGTAGAATCTTTTTAACAACAAGATTTCACAGGAACTGTTAGAATTCATTAAATCCCAGGAGAATGGTACGAAGCTCTTCATGAGGGATCTGTCCCCGTGATCCAAACACCTCCCATCAGGTCTCACCTCCCACACTGGGGATCAAATTTCATCATGAGATCTGGAGGGGATAAATATTCAAATTATATCACTTAGTGTCTTCCATTAATGCTAGTGGTAGCTATGAATAGATGTTTATTAAAATAATTCTTTAATCTACCCATGCACTGTCTTGCTATTTTTGCTACGCTCCCCTGCACAGGAAAATAGAAAAAGACCAGATAGAAATATCCTATATGATGGGGTTAAGGTAAAAAGAAAGCAGGAAAGTGTTTAACCAGGAAATACAACCAAAATATTGAAAGATGCAATACCCTTGGGTTTTACATGCATGCTAAATTTCCTCTATAACTATGGCTTTTGCTTGTATAGGCATGTAGGTGTCCTGAAATTTAAAATGATAGTGTAAAATGGAGCAGAATCAGATTGTTTTAAAAGAGAAAACTGGAAAGTCCATTACTTAGCTCATCGACTTACTCTAGGCACTAGAATCTTTATTCAAGTTGATTGAACCCACCTAATCTGTGTAGAGGTTCCTTAATTCAGCTACTATATAGACCCTTAAGGATTTGTTGAGAATGATGGAACGAGAACTCTGGGATGAGAGATGGATGGATGTTTGTCTGGATCTCCTTCCCTTAAAGCCAAAGCCTTCCTCATACTTTCTGTAAAGTCCTGTGATTTTCTTCATTATAATTTCCCACTTCTGCCTCTGCATCTGCTGCCTTAGTTTCACTGTTCTGATTTCCACAAAACATATCTATTAGAGAGAAGAATCTTGTGAATTCACTCTTCTTGATGTGTGACTGCTTTTCTTGGAAGGAATCTCATTATATAAATCAAAGTATGTCCACCATATTTGTGACTTCATTGTTATACTTCACAGTATACTCCATAACCTCTCCAAGACCCTTCCAACATGTGACCCTGGGAGCAAAGGCAAGACCTCTGGAAAGGGCAATCCTTTTATCCCCTGCATTCTATTGAATAAAACGTAGATGTGTGTGTATTTACCCTAGAGTTTGGAGACAACTTTTGTTTTCTCCAAATTAAAGACATCGTGGAAAATATGACTAAGGAGTCTGTGCTTAGTTTGTAATATTTTTGTATCAAGGCCTTTGATACCATGTGTAGATTATTGTATTAGTTTGTTTTCACACTGCTATAAAGAACTTCCCTGAGACTGGGAAATTTATAAAGGAAAGGGGTTCGGCTGACTCACAGTTCCACATGGCTGGGGAGGCCTCAGAAAACTTATAATCATAGTGGAAGGCAAAGGGAAAATAAGCACCTTCTTCACAAAGTGGCAGGAGAGAGAGAGAGGTAGGGAGGAATTGCCAAATACTTTTAAAGCATCAGATCTAGTGAGAACTCACTCACTATCGTGAGAACACCATGGGGAAGACAACCCACATGATCCTATCACCTCCCTCCATGTCACTCGCTTGACACATGGGGATTACAATTCGAGGTGAGATTTGGGTGGGGACACAGAGCCAAACCATATCAATTTTTCTGCCTCTGTGTAAAATTTCTCAAAATTCACTTCAGGTACATTTAGCAAATGATTATGTAAGGTTTTGATTCTTTATAATATGTTGATCAAAATGCTGACAGCTATATTATGAAGGAAAAGGTTTCCTTTTGCTTGCTCTGCCTATAGCTCTCTTTCTAAATCCTAGCTTTTTTTGTGTGTGACTGTAATCTCTGCCATGATCTGGGGTCTGTCCTATGGCAAAGGAGAAGGTTGCATTTGTTCTCCTTTGTAGGTAGGGGTAAGAGCTGAAAATAGATTGTCTCCATTGTGGCACTAACAGTCTTCACTACATTGTTGAGCATCTCTGGATAGCAGGTGTTCAGATACACTGCAATCTAACCACTCAAGCCTCTAATCATATAGGCTCCCCTAATTTGTAACAGTTTGTGTGTTTAGTTTCAGCTCAATATAGGGGTTAAAATTTAAAGGGTATAAGATATACCTCCTTATTAGAGATGTACTATAACCTCATTGCAACTAGGTGAATCCTTGATAGAAATTAAATGTAATTTTGAAGTAAAAAAGAATATTCTGCTGCAATTGTGGCTAAATTCCACTATGAATCTGTGGCTAAATTCAGTGACCTGAAATTGAGAATTTATGGAAACCCCAACATGATAAACCAAAGTTTTAACTTATTCTACAACAAGATAGTAAACCTTTGAAAGGATAGGTCAAATAATTATTCCCAAAACATAAGAAAAACAGTCTTTTAAAGTCTCACTTGGACACATTCAAAGAATAAAATCACCATTTAAAATATTTGTGTGTATATATATATATATATATATATATATATATATATATATATATATCTTTCTTTTTGACTTTACTATAAACCCCTTGAGTCACAGACATTTTTCGTTTGTCTTTTGAACCTCCATAACAGTGCAATACTGAGCAACCAGTAATAAAGTACTGAAGGAATCAATCTAATACTTTTATTTATTTATTTATTTATTTATTTATTTATTTATTTTTGAGACAGAGTCTTGCACTGTGGCCCAGGCTAGAGTGCAATGGTGCGATCTTGGCTCACTGAAACCTCCACTTCCCAGGTTCACACGATTCTCCTGCCTCAGCCTCCAGAGTAGCTAGGATTACAGGTGCACACCACCACACCCGGCTAATTTTTTTATATACTTTTAGTAGAGAAGGGGTTTCACCATGTTGGCCAGGCTGGTCTCAAACTCCTGATCTCGTGACCTGCCCACCTCGGCCCCCCAAAGTGCTGGATTACAGGCATGAGCCACCACGCCTGGCCAAATCTAACACTTTTTAAATCTTGAGATCAAGAAGAAAGGAAGGGAAAGATTTGTCTCCATTAATGAGCTTGATATTGTGAAACAGACCAATATGCAAAATCACATCATGGCAAGGCAAGTATCTATTCCCTTACTGAACCCAGCTTTCAGCAAATATTGACTCCACTAGTGGGAATGAGTCCCAGAGAAGTACCAACGTTACCTTCCAATTCTAATTTTGTGGTTTTAGTGGTAAGAAAAAAGCAGAAAATAATAGGCTGTCTATAGCAGAAGAATATATGTTGGTAGAGAATTAGTTAATGGTACTATAATTAGAGAAAGGCAGCATGATTTGTCATAGGCTGGTATGCTTAACTTCAACCGTGAGTCCATTAAGACAAAAACTTCATACAATGATGTTGATAATAATACTGATAATAGCTTTGTGTACATTCAGAAATCCTCAAATAAAAACTAATACATTCCTCATTTTTTTGTTCTTCCAGAACCATAATGTACCTTTTTTTTGTAAAGTTATTTGATTAAACAAAAGGTTCACAAACATTTTAAGTTTTATTTTGTTTCTTTTTTTTTTTAATTATCTGTCATTGATTCCACAGCTTACTACAATTAGAATTACCATAATGGTAGGATGTGGTTGGTAGAAATATATGACTTCATCCTTTATAATCACCAGCATGGCATTTCCCGAAACAAAACACTACAGGATATCAATGATGCTGAGCCTCTCTTCTCGGATCTAATGTTTTCATGCATGCCAGTCTAAAAATGCTGACTGCATCATAGCCCTGGCAGCCAACATTAAGCTTGTAAAACAACAGAAAAGCAACAGTAAAACTGCTATTTGTGTTTTATGGAACTATGCAAAACTAAGAAAATAGCAGAGTACCCAAAAGTTGGATTTTTAAATATTCCCAGTGGTCTAATTTTTTTACCCACTCATTATTTTGTGCCAATTCATTTTGGCACACTTCCAAAGTCTTTTTTTAAAACTATTATGTATGTCTAAATAGAAATGAGTTGAAACACTGACTGACATCTGCCTATGCATATATATTATTTTAATGATATATCTAAGTGAATACCATTCTTTTGATTATTCTCATATTGTATTACTTGTTTATATTATATTGGGATATACAGTAATACAAGATGTTTCAGAGACATTAATCAAGTGGCTCAACTAAGTTCTATCAATTCAAAATTCACAAAGTTTTGAGCTGTGAGTAATGTCTACCAGTACACAGGTTTAGCTTTATTTAGCCATCATCAGTGTATGACACTTAGCTATAGCTAAGCACTTGATTAGCCTTTAAATGTTTACTTGCTTGGGCATAGGGGTAAATAAAGTTAGAAATTTAAAGCATCTCTGAAAATATATGGAGGAAATTTAATAACTTGATTCAACATTAACTTCCATGCTGTGGTAGATTAAAGATCCCTCGAATTCAGGGGAGGGGAATTAGATTCCATCTCTTGGTGGGAGGAATAGCAAAGAATAGCAATTCAAGTTACTAGCCTTAGTAACTTGCTTGACCAAATAGCATGTTACATCCTGGGCTTCTGAGTACAGATAACAGGAAGGCTTGCAACTTCCTCAGGCCTCTTGAAACTCTCTCCCTGACATCCATGAGCTTCCATGTAAGAAATTAACTACTCTGAGGCTACCTTGCTACAGAAGCCATTGATACGTGCCCTAGTTAACAGTCCCAGTTCATTTTAGCTTTTCAGTCATCCCTCCCAAGTGAACAGAAATGATGAAGCCATCTGGGATGCTCCAGATCAACCTAATCACCAACTAGATATCACTGATAACCTTAGCTGATACCATATAGAGCAGAAGAATCACCCAGCTGAGCCCTGTCCAAATTCCTAACTCAAAATTGTGAGATATAATACAATGGTGGTTGTCTTTAACTGCTAAGATTTGCAGATATTTTGTTAGCAGCAGTAAATAACTGGAGCCTGCATATCCTGTTATACTAACAGTCTTGTAAAGTTGGTTGCTTGGATTTCATTAGAATTAGTATGAAACTCTATTTTAACCAGTTTCTGTTAAAGAATGTCATTACTGTTTTATTTTTTGTTTTGCTTTGTTTGTTTGCTTGCTTTTGTTTAGCATCCAACCTCTCTTTCCAAATGCAGCTCACTCTTTCTTTTGCAGAAATCTCCCACAAATGCAACCTTGATGAAAGGTAGTTCCCTTCAACTGCCAAAGGGGTAGATTCTTCTACCTACTTATTCTGAGTAGCTAGGAAATAGCAATTAAGCCTTCAATTCCTCTGGAGCTTTGAATCTTCAGCTAGCAATAAAAGATGTGAATCAACAGATAAATTTTCTAAAACCTAAATATGATCATATCATTCCTCTCCTAAATATCTTCCAGTCCTTTCAAATTAGATCAAGTCTAAACTCCTAGCTTCAGAAAAAGTGCCTTTGTGATCTGCTCCTAGTTTACTACCCCAACCTCATTTCTCAAAATCTCAGGATCCTCATAAACTAATCATTCTAGACTACTATTATGGATGGAATTTTTTCGTTCAAAAAAGATATGTTGAAATCCTAACTCCCAGTACCTTAGGATGTGACCTTATTTGGAAATCCGGTCTTTAAAGGGGTAATCAAGTTAAAATGAGGTCATGAGGGTGTGCTCTAATCTAACATAACTAGTATCCTTATAAAAAGGAGAAATTTGGACACAGGGAGACATACACAAAGGGAAGATGATATGAAGACATGATCTGGTGACATTATCATTAGAATAGTGCATCTATAACTTAACTTTTTGGTAAGGTTACCAGAATGTAGGAGAAAGGCATGAAGTAGTTCCTTTCCTAGTGCCTCCAGAGGAAGCATAGCCTTGCTGACATCTTAATTTCACAGTTCTAGCCTAAGACATGTGACACAATAAGTTTTGGTTGTGTTGCTTCTCCTGGTTTTTGGTGCTTTGTTATGGCAACCACGGGAAATGACTACTACTACTGACTGCTTCCTAAGAGTATCATGCTTGTCCTTATCTCCTTAAAAAGCACCAAATATTACATTATGTTTGTTATAGTATGTTAAACATCTCAAGGTTTTGGAAGATGGAGGAGAAAACAATTAAGGACTTTTTCTTGAAAACAAGGCATTTGAATTACACATTATAGGACATGGGGCTTCAGCAGGCAATGATAGAGGATGGTATTTCTAATGCAGTGAGTACTTGAAACCAAGGTGTAAAAATAAGGACATGTAGATCATATTTAGAAGAAAAAGAGATTGTGTCCTTTCTCTGTGTGTTGGCTGTATACAGTGAACTCTAAGAATGTTACTTAAGCTGTCATCCAAGCACTTCGGGAGGCCAAGCTCATGCCTGTCATCCAAGCACTTTGGGAGGTCAAGGTGGGTGGGTCACCTAATGTCAGGAGTTTGAGACCAGCCTGACCAACATGGTGAAACCCCGTCTCTACTAACAATACAAAAAATTAGCTGGGTGTGGTGGTAGACGCCTGTAATCCCAGCTACTTGGGAGCCTGAGGCAGGAAAAACACTTGAACCCGGGAAGCCGAGGTTGCAGTGAGCCGAGATGGCACCACTGCACTCCAGCCTGGGCAACAAGAGCGAAACTCTGTCTCAAAAAAAGAAAAAGAAATGTTACTTAAAATGGATCAGTTTAATTAGGCTTCTTCTAGAAGCAAGCACATATTTTTTAAAAGCCTAGTAGTTTGCCTTAGAATGCTCTATTAGGCTTTCCTCCAAGAAATATCATAAAAAGTTTAGGACTATTTGGTTCTCCAGAATAGAAATGCCCAGACTTTTGTAATTTGCCAAGTCATAAACATTTTAAAGAGCAGGAGGCATCATAAGGACAGCAACATCTTATTTTGAGACAATTTTAATTATTATTTTTATCACCATAAATTCATAAAAGAAATGAGATTACAACAACAAAAATTGAAGGATCCTAACTTCAGAGTAAATTGTAATCTTTTAAATAGAAAAAAGTTAGTTTTGTGAACAATTCCCTACGTTATCACTTTTCCTCATCTCCCCAAACACCAAAGAAAATAATCTCTTCTGGGAAAGTCAGGAATCACTGATTACTCAGGCAAGTAGACTCATTTATTTTTTGGAAAGTTAGCAAGTGCCCTGTGTGAGTAAAACTTTTACAGTGGTGGACTCATAGGTTAAGGCTCGATCTATGAGTTTTCTGCCTTTCCATTACAGCCAGAGTCTCAGTCCACCAGAGCCTCAGGCCGAAGACCTGAAGCATGTATTCCAACTCCCTTGATTTTCTGTAACTCTTCAAACCTTCTGTGTTTTAAATTTCTGAACCCTGCAAAAGGTTCAGAGCCTCTTCACTGCCCTTCCCCTTCCTCTGCTCCAGGTAAACATCTATTTACTCTGATCAGAAAGAGTCACCAATCTTCCTTACTGTACTCCAGACATCATTTTAAACACTCCGCATACACCAACTCTCCTAATTCTTACTACAGTCCTCTGAGGTAGTTGTTATTATTATCAAAACCCACCTTTACAGATAAGGAAATTAAGGAACAGATCTTTAGCTTGCCCAAGGACACTAAGCTAGGAAAGAGAAAGCTAGATTCAAACCTAGGAAAACTATTTACAGAGTCCAAGTTCTTAACCACTATGTCGTGCTCTCCCTTTGTGAAGATTTTATAATTTGCTCAGATTTAATCAATCTTATAACTTATAACATTTATCAATGTATTCCTAGAGGTTATATTTTTATACCCCTAGATACACTAAATCTTAAGCTTCTTAAAGAAAGGAGTTGAATCTTATCTCATTTTATATTTCTTCCCACTTCGAATCCTACCACAAATAATGTATAAAGGTCATTCAGAAAAAAACATAGTAAATGAATTAAATGTAGATTATTTTGCAAAGTTCAGAATACATAAATCTTTTTTTTCTTGACTGTGAAATACCATGCCTTTTCTCTGCTCCCATCTATTACAACAAGAGCTTCAAAAGATTTCTAAGACATTTCCCAGTTTTTGTTTGAAAATTTGACAGGAGAATTTCCGTGTTTGAAAAATTTGACTATTTTTCTCTCAAATTAAGTACTTTAACTTCTTCCTAAAGAATAATTCATCAACTTATTAAGTGACTTTTAATGCTTAGCTATATAAGTAAGTGTTATAATGATGAAGTAAACAGTATTGTTCCTATTCATTTATATTTATGTGCTCATTCATTTCCTTTAACAAATATCTACATTTGCTATGTATTGCATTAGATAAAAGACAGGATTATTTTAACTGAGAACTGAGACTGGTAAACAAACTGGGAAACCAACAATATTAGACAAGTTTGACAGTTGACCTGCAAGAAGAATCTGCATGATATAATTGCAGAAAATAACATGGAGGATGATAGCAAATTTGTCAAGACCTCATGAACAAGAGGTGATTGTGCATCCTTTATTATGGAAACCTCATGGCAGGCCACAGTTTCATTAAAAGCTGGTTACTTGCCAGGGGGCTGTTAGTAGGTTGTTCTTATGCCGAAAGAATGATACACGCCCACCTTCTGTGCTCCCCAGTTTCTTCCTCTCTGTACATGAGAAATGTTTCAGTTGGATTAGCTTTGCACTTGGCTGTCTGATTTAGAAAGGTTGTGAGGAGATCACACGGAGCCAATTCAAAGGCTGCTGTACTTCCTGAAATATATGGTTCTCATAAGCAACACACTTTGAGTCTAAGAGATGTTTGAAGTGAGTCAAGATAAGCCTTTGTGGATCCAAGTTTCAGTGGTGACCTATAATTACCAATATTGAGCCTCTCAGTTTTCTTCATTTCTAAAACTCATTGCTCAGTGTTTCCTTGCCACTCTGCTGGCACAGTCTGCAAATGAGTGCTTTTGGGAGACTGCATCATAAGTGACCAAAAAATTTATCCCACATTTGGAAATACTGAGAGACCACATGTGAAATGGAGATACCAAATAATTAGCAAGATGTGAATCCTTGTTTAAGATAACATGGAGTTCATCTTCTGGCTCTCTAATGCATTGAAATGGGAGTAGTAACTAGAAGGCATTCATTCAGAATATTATAGAAATGTTTAAAGGTGGGGGAGAACAATTTTTTATAATGCTGTTTGATTCTGTTAGAACCTATATTCCTGAATTGATTCTGCAAATACGGCATTTGAATAAATCATCTAAGAATTGAAAATCAACCAAACAATGAATGGACACCCCCCAGAGAATGCTATGCTGTTTTCATAAAGCACAGGGAAAAGAAAATGAGAACAATGAAAGAAGTTAGACTTATAGATGCTTGGGGTATTCCAATCACTTTATATTTCTGTAAAAGTAAATCTTACTGATGGATAGTTCCTGCCTCATGCTGACAGTTTACAAATAGGAATAGCAAGGTCCCATTTTAGAGCAGACAGTGTGGAGCCCTCTTCAAAAGCATCTTTAAATTAGAGTGACAGAGCTTCACAAGCATTTTCAGTAGTAAAGGATGAATATTAATACTTCAAAGACAACAATAAACTAGATCTATAGTCTTTCACCCTTCCCCCTTACTGTAACGGCAAAGATTGGCCCCCTGCAGTTGGATGCTTTGTTTCCTTGATTTTTGCACTCTTCAATAGAAAAAGCACAACAGCATATCCCTCATTAGCAAAACTTGTGATCTACTGAAACAGTGTTTCAATTTGAGAAGATCTGCCTCTAGATTCCTCCTAATCTGGCTGAATAAGCACAGATACATTAATGTATATTCATTAGGACTATTTATTTTTTCAATCTGTGTGGAACAGAGGAACCCAGGTGAGACAGCTTGGCATAAAAACTTGAAAACAGACAGGATCTGTGTAACAAATTCTGCCTCTGTTCACTTACTAGATGTACAATCTAGGGGTCATAACTTAATCTAACTACTTTACCCATAAAATAGAAATGAAATAAACAGCAAATAAAAACACTGACAGGCTTACATGAAATCCAGTACCTGATAATAATACGTCAGTCAAGAGTGGATGGTTTTATTGTTGCTTTGTTAATATTGCTATCATCATCAAAGGGAAGCTACATCTTACTGGAGATGACTACTATAGAGGTAAACTAAAGTTTTTCATCTGCCTAGGCATTGAACCAAATAAAATAGGGGAAGCTGACAGCAAATACTCAAAAAATCCAGTTCTTAGCCTGGCTCTGCCACTACTTGTATGACTTTGGAAAAGTGGCTTAATCTCTTAAGTCTCTTATTTAATGTCGGGATAATCACCATGTTTATTTTATAGGGTTTTTGTGCGGATTAAAGAAGGTTTTTTTTTGTTTGTTTTTTGTTTTGTTTTTTTTTTTTTTTTTTTTTTGAGACGGATTCTCGCTCTGTCGTCCAGGCTGGAGTTCAGTGGCCTGATCTCGGCTCACTGCAGGCTCCAGCTCCAAGGTTCACGCCATTCTCCTGCCTCAGCCTCCCAAGTAGCTGGGACTACAGGCGCCCGCCACCGCACCCGGCTAATTTTTTGTATTTTTAGTAGAGACGGGGTTTCACCATGTTAGCCAGGATGGTCTCGATCTCCTGACCTCGTGATCCTCCCACCTCGGCCTCCCAAAGTGTTGGGATTACAGGCGTGAGTTAAAAAAGATTTTAAGCAAAGTTCTTAGTGTTATTTCTGGTTCATAATTAAGTGTTCAAATAGTGTTACCAATTATTAACATTATGATTTATTTTATTATTCAGTCTCAATGATAGTTTTGGTAAGAGAATACTAAATGTTTGATCAAAGATAAGAGAGTAGAAGTTATAGATTTCAAAAAGTCATTCGAAATATATTGCAAAGAAACAAAAGCAATAACAATCTGAATGGTAGGCAGAAAAGACACAAAAATGCTCTGAAAACATTGACAGATGAAAATAAAGACTTAAGGAGAGATTTCCCATTTAAATATCCATACTACCTAAAACCATATATAAATTCAATGTAATCCCTATCAAAGCCCAATGGCGTTATTCACAGAAATAGAAAAAAAAATCGTAAATGTGCATAGAATCACAAAAGGTCCTGAATAGTCAAAGCAATTCTGAGGAAAACAAACAAAGTTGGAGGCATCATGCTTTCTGACTTAAAATCATTTTACAAAGCTGTAGTCATCAAAACAATATGGAACTGGCATAAAGACAGTTACATAGACCAGTGGAACAAAAAGGAGTCCAGAAATTCAAACATATAGCCAGCTAATTTTTGACAAGGGCATCAAAAATACACCAAGGGAAAAGGATCATTTCTTCAACAAGTGGCACTGGGAAAACTGAATTTCTACATGCAAAAGAATGAAATTGGACCCTTATCAAACCATATTCAAAAATCAACTCAAAACAAATAAAAGACCTAAATGTAAGACCTGAAATCACAAAACTTCTACAAGAAGATATAGGGGAAAATCTCCTTTACATTGGCCTTGGCAATGATTGCTTGCACATCACACCAAAAGTTCAGGCTATAAAAGCAAAAATAAATGAGACTCCATCAAACTAAAAATCTTCTGCACAGCAAAGAAAACAATTAACAAAATGAAAAGGTAGCCTATAGATTAGAAAGCAATATTTGCAAAACCATATATCAGATAAGGGGTTAATATCAAAGATTTTTAAAGAACTCATACATCTAAATAGCAACAAAGCAAATAATCAAGTTTAAAAATGAGCAAAGGACTTGAGTAAACATTTCTCCAAAAGTGACATAAAACTGGCCAACAAGTACATGAATATTTGGCCAATATTATGAATCATCAGGGAAATGCAAATCAAAGCCACTATGAGATACCCCCTTATACCTGTTAGGATAGTTATTATCAAAATGGCAAGAGATAACAAGTGTTGGTGAGGGTGTGGAGAAAAGGCAACTCTTGTACATTATTGGTGAAAATGTAGATTGGTGCAGCTGTGGTGAAAAACGGTATAGAGATTCCCAAGCCGGGCATGGTGGCTCACGCCTGTAATCCCAGCACTTTGGGAGGCTGAAGTGGGTGGATCACCTGAGGTCAGGAGTTCGAGACCAGCCTGACTAACACAGCAAAACTCCATCTCTACTAAAAATACAAAAATTAGCTAGGCGTGTTGGCACACTACTGAGGAGGCTGAGGCAGGAGAATCGCTTGAACCTGAGAGATAGAGGTTGCAGTGAGCCAAGATCGCACCATTGCACTCAAGCCTGGGTGACAGAGCAAAACTCCATCTCAAATAAATAAATAAATAAAATAAACAGAGTTTCCCAAAGAAGCTAAAAGTAGACAATCATGCCGGGTGCAGTGGCTCATACCTCTAATCCCAGCACTTTGGGTGGCCGAGGCGGGCAAATCACCTGAGGTCAGGAGTTCGAGACTAGCCTGGCCAACATGGTGAAACCCCATCTCTATTACAAATACAAAAATTACCTAGGCATCATGGCACATTCCTGTAATCTCAGCTACTCAGGAGGCTGAGGCAGGAGAATTGCTTGAACCCAGGAGGCAAAGATTGCAGTGAGCTGAGACAGCACCATTGCATTTCAGCCTGGGTGACACAGTGAGGCTGTTCTGTCTCAAAAAAAAAAAAAAAAAAGAGTAGAATAATCGCATTTCTTTTCTGGGTATATATCCAAAGGAAATGAAATCACTTCCTTGTAAAGATATCTGCACTTCCATGTTCATTGCAGCCTTATTCACAGTAGCCAAGATATGGAAACAACTTAGAAACAACCTAGATGTCCATCAGTGGACAAATGGATAAGGAAACTAAGGGGGGTGTGTGTGTGTGTGTGTGTGTGTGTGTGTTTGTGTAGATAACTTCTTTATTCATGCTATTTGTCCACTAATGGACACACACACACACAATGGAATATTATTCAGACTTTAAAAAGAAAGAGATCTTGTCATTTGCCACAACATGGATGGACCTGGAAGACATTATGCTAAGCGAAATTTGCCAGACACAGAAAGAAAACTATTGCATAATCTCACTTATATGCAAAATCTTTTATTTAAAAAAAAGTCATATAGATAGAGATAGAAAGAGAATAAAAACATTGTTTGCCAGGGTAGTGTTGGTGGGGAATGGGGAGATGTAAGTTAAAGGATGCAAAGTAGCAAATATGTAGGCTGTCCAAAGATCTAATGTACAACATGAAACTATAGTTAATAATAGTGTTTTGTATTCAGTATTTTTGTTAAGTGAGTAGATTACAGCTGTTCTTGCCACAAGGTGAAAAATGGGTAACTATGTGAGATGATGGATGTGTTAATTTGTTCCGCTATGATAACTATTTTAATATAAATTTGTATTTTACAACATTATGTTCTATACCTTAAATATACACAATACATGAAATAAAATTTATTTCAGAATAAGTAAAAAAGAAGAGAGACCCTTATTTATCTAACAAATACTTTAAAATACAAAGGGGCAAGCACTACTGTTAGCACTTTATAAATATTAATTTATACAATCTTAGAAATCCTACAAGGTAATTATGTACACACACACACACAATGGAATATTATTCAGACTTTAAAAAGAAAGAGATCTTGTCATTTGCCACAATATGGATGGCCTTGGATGACGTTATGCTAAGTGAAATATGCCAGACACATATTCAGTTTTACAGATAAGGACTGTGAAGCCAGAGAAGTTAAGTAATATACCCGAAGTCATGCAATTAGTAAGTACAGAGTCAAAATTTGAAACTAGATAAATGCTTCAGAATCTTTGCATTTACCCACTTAATTTACCAAAGAATTTCTCTTCCATGCCTGTTTAAAGTGTGTGCCAGAAAAAAATGGCCAGAGTGAAAATATCGCTAGATTAGGGACTTAGCATAAAGGGAACACTGAATCATTCTATTAATTATTGTCTTTGAGGAAAATACTTAAACTAGAGTTAAGGGCCCACAAGGGACCCAAGAAACAAGGCTTGAATAAGTCCACTATGAGAATAATAAAACGATGTCATCTTAGTAGTAAAACATTAAAGTAAACCTAGAAAATTAACTGGAGATGTAAATTATTTGAAAAGAGCTTTGAAAATAAGAGATGGCAACATTGTATTTTCTCCCTGTGTCTAATCTGCATGGCATTTTGCCCACGGGATTGAAAAGTATCAAAGAAAGTCAGCAGACACTCAAAGATGCTAACTAATATATTATTCTGGAGAAAAAGGGTAATGGTGGAAAAGAGTTTTTCAATTGTTGATACCAAGAAACTTCTATTTGCAAAAGGCCCTTTCACTTACTGACCCCCAATACATCAACATTAAATGATAAATGTTTTCCATTTTGAATGCCCCATCTCTACCAATAATCACATTTTGATTCTGTCTATATGTTAAAACAAACAGTAACAATAACAATCCAAAAATATAACCATGTTACCATTTTTTCCTCTAAACTTTTGGAAAAATTTCTATAATTTCATGCAGATGTTGATTAAAGATGCATGACTTGAGTCTTCAACATGATAGATAAGATACCTAAGGTATAATTATTTATTCATTATCTAAGATTTTAACATTTAACCACTGAAATTAACTTTTGTCACTTCCCACAAGTTGAACCCCAAGAGTAACAGTCAAGTACAAATCCTATACGTATGGTTTTGTTAGCAGAGCACGCATCTAGTAAAAATCCAATGGACAAACTCATGCTTAAGCATGAATGTAGAGGGCAAATTTGGCAATGCGTGTGAGAAAGGCTTGAAATTTTGCTTGCAATTTGATCCAGAATTCCCAGCTTTCAAAATAATTTTAAGGAAGTATGCAAACTTTGTGTGCAAGAACATTTGATGTATAGATTGTCATGAGACGAAAAACAATTAATTAAATGTTTAATAACAAGATATGGTTAAGTAATTTGTAATACATCTACCTAATGTAATAAAATACCATTATGGAAAACATGTTGCTAAGAATGTACAAGAACAATAACATGGTAAATGGTTCATGATGTATTATGTCTATAAATAAAAGTCCATAGAAAAAAGGCAGAATAAATACATTCTAGAACATGATTATTTCAGGAGATAATTGGCTATTTTAATTTTTACACTTTTATTTATTTTTTATTTTCTAAATTTCAACTTTTGTTATGAAAGAAAAGTTTATTTTTTATTTTTTAATGTAAAAATTTGTTCTCAATCCTCAGAGTCCCAAAAGGAATAATTAAGAATCCCTAGAATCTATGCCAATAACTAGAAACTGGACTGAACAGGGAAGGTATTGAAGATTTCTTTCTACCCTACAGCTTTTCCCCCAACACAGGTTTTGTTTTAGGTATTACTGTCATGAAATACAATACATGATGCTCTTCAGCCAAAAGCATATTATTTATTCCAGAAGTTCCTTAAAACCCTAGGAACCCGAATATATTTTTACTTGTGAGCTGGGATGGATACTATAAAAAACAAACAAACAACAACAACCAAAAAAACCTTTTAAGATATGCTTGGCTTTTGTTCTTTCAACCTTGTACCCTAGAGTAACATTATCCAGTAGAACTTTCGGTATTGATGGAAATGTTCTATATTTGCACTGTACTTTATGGTAGTCACTAATACATCTGGCTAGCGAGACTGAGAAACAAAATTTCTCATTTTATTTAATTAAATGTCAATAGCCACATGTGACTGGTGGCTACTCATTGGGCAGTGTTTGGGAACAGTTATCTGGATGTTTCCTGTTCTGAACTCCACCCTGGACCTGTCCAGTATTTCCAAGCAATTCTCTACAAAACACTTATCCTCTCATTTATTCATTCACGTATTAACTACTATAACAATTTTACTAAGTATTGCATGCTAGTCTTGGTATTAAGATCTGTGTTACTGGACTCAGTCGTCAACAAGACAGCCACACTCCCTGTCCTCAGAGTTCACATAGTTTAGCAGAAATAAAGATGGTTTTCTTGCCTCAAATTGTATCTTCTGTGTTTTGTCTCACATACTACTGAGAAAGAAAAAGATAGATTCTGGTCCATGAAGTCATTTTTTGCTATGCTGAAACTGTATATTCACAAATATATTCAGTTCTGCCTCGGATCCCATCAAAGGTCCTTCTTTCTCCATTGGGTGCTTTGAGTCCTTCCAGGATCCCTCCCTAAGACTGAAGTGTAGGTGTTTTCCTACTGGGTTTCTCTTCCTGGGAAAACAGACACTAGTTAATTCTTCAGAGCTCAAAGCCTAATTCATCTGAGAAAATGGGAACTGGAAGCACTGTATAAATCAAGACTTTTCTCTCTGCCTCTGGGAAATGAAAGTGCTTTCTCTACTAGCTAAAGTTCACGGAATAAAACCTAATATGTCATCAAATTCAACTTTTATTGATCCTCTAGGATGTCTAAATTATTGAACTAGGTATTACGGGTCATCAAAGACCCAAAAGACTTGGTCCCTGTCTTCTACAAAACCCAAAATTGAATAGAACCCAAATAAAAGTTACCACATGACTTCACTTTCTTAAAAAACGTAATTCCACCAGTCTTCCTAAAGCATTTGAATGGAAAAAAAAAGCGATCAAAACTTGTGTACAGGCCCATGTTTGGTTCATCTTTCCATCTCAAACAAATGTAAAGGGAGGATCTCAACACAGTATTCAAAATTATATTCAGCCTGGTAACAAAGATAAAACTACAGTTGTTGTGTAAAGGAGATTAAAATTCAGTTGGAAACATGTAGTTCGTGTGCTACATACATGCAAAAGTATTAATGAAAAATCTCAGTGAACTAGAGTTCTTACCAACAGAGAGGCCCACCTATTAGTCTCTAAGGGTCCTTGAAATGTTACCCAAGTGGCTCAGGATTCTGCACTCCATTTTGAACAAAGGTCACAGTGGTGTTAGAAAGTCTGAGGGCAAACCTGCAATTCCCACTTACCAGTTTTGTAAGTGTGAGCAAATTATTGAGAGCCTCTAAGTTGCACTTTTCTTACCTATAAAATGAAGGCAGAATCCACCTTAGTTGAATAATGTAAAAATTAAAGATAATATATGAGCAGGGCCTAGCACTATGCTTGCTTGTAATAGTTATTCAATAAATGCTAGATGGATTAGAGGATCGTTTATTGAGGAGATATTTATTGCCAAAGTCAAACAAATAGGCAAATAGACAAACAATTTATATTATAGCTCAGAAGGTGGGTCTTCCCCAACACAAGGCAATGTAAGAAGCACCTACACTGTGTGAAGAACTAGATAGACCACAGGTGGCCTTCTCAATCATGATAGAGAACAAAGAAATGACTCTCTCCAGAAAGAAGACAATCTGCAATAAAATCTTAAATAGTCCCAATAACATTACAAGCAATTTGGACTTCTCTGTATGTCCAAATGCTCCTCTATATGTCCATGCTTTCATGATGTCTCTGAATATTTATCTTCCCTCTGGAGAAAAGACAACTCCAAATGACTTTATGCTGAGCTTGAAGCATCTGTGGTCAAATGGTGAACTGGCATCATTATTTCCATTTTACAGATAAACTTAAGAGAGTACTGAGAGATAAACCGAGAGTGTTGAAAGTTCAAGGGCCCTGCCACTATCTTACAGGAGCAAAACTAAAGAGAGAGTACCAAGAGATAAACTGAGAGGGTGCTGAGGGTCCAAGTGCCCTGCCAGTATTTCCCAGAAGTGAGGCTGGAAATGAAACGAAGTCTACACTGCTTTCTGCTAGGATGTGCTAGGTAAATGCTCTCCCTAACCTTAAATAGCATTTGTCTCTGTTATTAGCAGCTATTAGTGAAGACACTAACCTTAACCACATTTCCCTTGTCATTGTATTTGTTCATTTACCAAGAAATGATGTGATGGTATTATTATTATTATTATTATTATTATTATTATTATTATATTTTTTCTTTGCAACAAAGTTTTGCTCTTGTTGCCCAGGATGGAGTGCAATGGCGTGATCTCGGCTCACTGCAACTTCTGCCTCCTAGGTTCAAGT
Source organism: Homo sapiens (assembly GCF_000001405.40). NCBI lineage: Eukaryota > Metazoa > Chordata > Mammalia > Primates > Hominidae > Homo > Homo sapiens. The sequence goes on along the minus strand of NC_000010.11, from coordinate 52,654,024 downwards.
GATTCTCCTGCCTCAGCTTCCCAAGTAGCTGGGATTACAGGCACCTGCCACCACACCTGGCTAATTTTTGTATTTTTTTAGTAGAGACGGGATTTCACCATGTTGACCAGGCTGGTCTTGAACTCCAGACCTCAGGTGATCTACCCAAATTGGCCTCCCAAAGTGCTGGGATTACAGGCATAAGCCACCACACCAGCCGATGTGATGTTATTATTTCAGGCTCACATCAACGGTATTAGCACTGGATGTCACTGTTGTTCCATGCAAACAGAACACAAGTGTGCCTCTTCCCTCGTGAATTTCAGAAATGACCCAGTTACTTAGGGAACAGCTCATCATGTACTTTGGCAGAACCACACAGTACTCCCCACCCAGCCTGGCATTGGCATTGCTATTTTCAGATTCTAAATCTAATCTATTCCAAGAGCAAGAGTCCAGGGAAAAGGCCATTAAATGTCTGAGGCACAGAGTCTATACAACATCTGACACTGAAATTACTAGAAAGGTCTATTTGCGAGCAAAAATTTCTGCCCTTGCTATATATTTTATTTTTGAAAAAACCTTAATACTTTAAATGCAAATATGAATCGAATGAATTTCATCATTATCCCATGAAGAGTTCCAGAAGGATTTCTTTGGTGAATGAAACACAAATATTAACTATTGCTTCTTCTCCCACTCACTTCATAATCATGTAACAGCCAGTTATCAAGGCTACAAAAGGTCTGAGTCTGACCTTCTAACCTGCTCTTGGACATAAGCAAGCACAGCAGGCAATGTATTTCAAGGCAATTACAGGCATAACTCGAGTATTTATAGGATACAACATTGTAATAGAACTATCTTTTTGGTATTTCCGAGGTAACACTTAAATCCTGCAACAGTGGTGGCCCATCAGTGGTGGGAAAAGACCAGTTCCTCCTGAGGGTGGAAAATAATCTTGTAGTTCAAGTTAGTGAAGGATGGGCATTTCTTCTTCCATTATATTCAAAGTGGAATGAGTGTGCTGCAGCTTTTTTTTTTTTTTTTTTCATGATTTCCTCATGATAATGTTGCGGTTACTTTAGCAGGGGGTGGAAAACTGATAAGTGTAATTGCTGTAATCACAGGATGTATAGGATGTAAATATTTGCAGGGCAATTAAAAACTATTTGCCTCTTTAGCTTCTTAAAATAAGAGGTACATCTGAGCAGCAAACAAGTGGAGAGTTTAAGAAAACAAGCAGAAAAGATTTTTAAGTGGCAAGAATATGAGATGATTTATCGAGCATTCATTTTGTGGTTTGGTCAGATACGAACGTTGGGGGAAAAGAGCAAAATATTGTGGATCAGGAAAATTGTGTCATCAAATAACTAAAAATAAATCTCAGAAGAACACCCCAGGGTTATAAATGATCACAGTGTGTGGCATTGTCAATTATCCTCTCAAGCTGGCACATTGTTTAGGAGGATGTCTAACTGCCAAGTTGTTATTGTAACAAGCCAACGGGCTTGCCTCATTCATTAAATACATGGAGGATGGTAGTCAAAATAAACCATGCCAGTTGACCACCATCCAAAGTGGCAGTTTTTCTTTGAGAATAAGGTTTTCTTTTTCACTCTTGCCTGATTCATATGTAAATACTTCCTATTTCTCCTAATGTTTCAAGAAACATTTTGATTGTATTTGACTCATATCTGCTAAATTTCTGTACATATTATTATCTTTACTACCAGTAGGGATAGTGAAAAAAGTAAATTCTACATTGTGTTGATGAGAGAGTTTGTATAAGGTAGGAAAGAAGGGGGTTGAACAGCATACAGATACTTCTACAGCCAGGTTAACATTTACACACGCCAATTAAGTTGTACAAAAATAGTAATTTGTTATGTTCTATAATTGACCTTATTTTGCCCTCCATCATGCTGATTAAAAAAAAAAAAATCCCAAACAAACAACCCTAAAACCTGATGAACAGTAACTCTGTCTCTTGTGGTTTTAAAGGCTCTCAGGTTAAAACACTCTTTTTTTTTTTTTGAGACAGAGTCTCAACTGTGTCACCCAGGCTGGAGTGCAGTGGCACGATCTCAGCTCACTGCAACCTCCACTTCCCAGGTTCAAGCAATTCTCCTGCCTCAGCCTTCTGAGTAGCTGGGACTACAGGCATGCACCACCATGCCTGGGTAGTATTTTTTTTTTTTTGTATTTTTAGGAGAGATGGGGTTTCACCATGTTGGCCAGGCTGGTCTTGAATTCCTGACCTCGTGATTCGCCCACCTCGGCCTCCCAAAGTGCTGGGATTACAGGCGTGAGCCACCGTGCCCGGACAAAACACTCTTAAGGGTAAACAATCATTTTGGATTTCTTACCTCTTCAATGCTTTTAGGATGGTATCTAGGGACATGCAATCTCGTGAGAAGAAGTAAAAGACAGCTATGATCCACAATTTGTCCTCTGCCAGCCCTGCTGACTCTGACTGATGAATAAAAGGGAGGTCGTGGCATTGTTCTCTCTCCTTGCTGCATGTGTTTGCTGTAGTATCTGTGGATTCTAAAGCTAAGGTCTGTGCTGTCTGGGTAGACAGAGCTGAGTGACTGCTTCTATGAAAGTCAGCAAACTCCTCATGCTAGTGAGGCTCTGAACTTTGATTCTTTCTGGCAGCCTTGATTCTCTGAGACTTATTGCCATTTTCTTGGGGCTGTTGACCTTGCAGTGGTCTCCACACCTCGAGCACATGATAACCCCTTGGCAGTTATGCCTAATTTTATTTAGTTATTCTGTCTTTTCATTCTCGACTCACATAATTCTTCCCTCACATGGTCATGCTGGAATATCTGGGCCTTTTCCATATCAGGTGCAGACTGTAGACCAGGGGTTTTCTGTCCCAAGGCTACACATCTGGACCCTTTCTCTGCCTGTTACTGATCCAGCACTATGCGCCATGTTGCACGATGCAGGAAGCAGAGCAGAAGCTTCGCTGTTCTCTGATTTCCCCTTGCACAATACAGAATCCAGTTCAGAGGCTATCATATGCCTCTTCTCTCTAAACCTCACCCAAAGGACCTTGGGCAGCTTGCTCATCCTCACCTAAATCACCTGGTTTTTACAGCCCCTCATTTTCTAATCTCAGAAGTTGAAGAGTTTTCTATTTCTATTTTCTATCCCAAGGAAACACCATCTCTTTTATCTTTCCTCACAGAGTACCATAGCAAAGCTCTAAGCCTTAAATTCTAAGTTCGATCCTTGATGTAAAAAGGAAGCTTTAGGATTTAAAAAATCTATTTTTCTTAAAAAAAAAGTAAAATCATGACTTGGTAGATATTATCTTGCTCTGGATAAAAAAAAAATTGAATCAAATTTTTCAGACCGAAAATTGACTTCATTCTCTATCTTCTTACAAGTAATTACAGGCATTTGAGTCTCTGGATTAAGGATTACGAGGTAACAAAAAATGGAGAAAATCAGTTTGGTGTCTTAAAAATATATCATCTCACCTAAACTGCTTATTCAAAAACCCTCAACAGTCATCCAGTGCTTTTTGAATCTGTACAAAGCTACGTGATGCTAAAGGCCTCCACCCCTCCCAGGCCTAGGATTTCAGGTGTCCCTCTCACTTCTGTGTAAGAGAAAAAGAGATTTAATGACTCTAAGCTAAAAAACTCACAGCTAATGAAGAGAAATAGTCAAGAGGCAGATTTTGACTAATCTAGCAGAGTCTCATTTCAGTCAAAGTTAGATTCTGAAATTAGTACTTAAGGCAAACGCTGCATTTATAAAAGTTATTCTTGAAAATTCTTTAAGTTGCTCATAAAATAATTTATTTTTTACTCTATGAAAAGCTCCAAATATAGTATCTTTCAGTTAGTCTGATAACCAATTTTTACTCCAGAAATAGGGGAAATGCTGTATGAAAAAGATGTATCTTCAAACTCTGCAATCATATCCAGTGATGCTCACATTATAAGGGGCACATAAACAAGGGAATAGAAAGAGAGAAAGTAATTATAGGATAAATTTGCTGTTACTAAAGAGTTATAATATTCTCTTTCTTGGAATTCTAACATAAAATGATTCATAAAATGCCTGGGCACATTCAGGATTGGATGGATATATTTTCTAGTTGGTGGATTTCTATTGTTTCCACATGTATACTAATTAAAACAATTTCAAACTTAATTTCTTAAATAACATTTCAGTCTTGCAGAGCATGCTTTTTAACATTAAACTTTGTCTCCCTCTGCATGCTAATCTTCAAAAACACTTTCTAAATCAGTCCTTGTCTGATAAATATGTCTATTTTGTTTAGCTTTTGGACTCATGTTCTACAATAATTTTGATTTTTTTCTGAGCCACAAATTGGAAGCAAAGAAAGCATGAACCCACTGGGTTTTCTTTCCTTTTTGTAAGTTTATACAAAGATGAGGCAACATGTCTTTCAGTAAGTAGATAGTAACTTCTTAATGTTTGCAGAACCAGATGAACGAAATGATAACCTCTCTGTGGGTTAGAATGTCTGATTCCCTCTAGGAGATCTTAAAGAAAGCCAATTAGCATTAGCAGATGTGTGTGCAATGGAGAAGGTAAAAGAAAATGAGGGCAGTAGTAGCTTTTTGGGACTTGGATGGAAAAAAGATAAGATTTCTGGGGAAGGCAGATGTTGGGTTTAAGGCTTTCTGTAGAAGGTCATTAGAAAACTGTGAGATGAAGGGACAGTTACAAATTTAAGAAAGATGTGTCTTATAGGACTAATACAGATACCATATACCAGATATTAGGTAAACAATACTTAAGGACTGTAAGAAACAAGAAAAGCATCCTGCAAGGGGGGAAATATATATCACATTTTCTTTCATTTTGAGGTTGTACTCTGGAGCCAAACATTGTAAGAGCTTTAGGGCAAAATTTGATTCTGAAATCCTTCAGAGTTCAGTAAAACTCTCCAAGTAATTCTGAACATGGTCTACCTTAATGTTGTTCAATAGGACAATGTGAGCCATGTAGGTAATTTTGAATTTTATAGTAAGTACAAAAATAGAAGAAGCAGGTGAAATTAATTTTAGTGCTATACGTTATTCAATTCAATGCATCAAAAACATCATTTGAACAAATTATCAACATTAAAAAATATTAATGGGATATTTTACATTATTTGGGACTACATTTTTGAAATCTCGTGTGTCTACAACACCTATAGGCTATAATACATATTGTATGGGAGCTAAATTTTCACTGGAAATATGTGATCAGGAATTACATTTCATAAGATTTACAGTTGAAAAAGTAGATTCAACTACCTATGCTTTTCCAAATATACTTAAACGTTTTCCACTAACTGAAATGAGCAACAAAAAATCATTTTCTTTAACAGTCACATCTAATTTGCAAAATAGGTTTATCATTCTTTAGAATAATTGATTTTCCTTTGAAGCAAAACTGCATCAGTTTCAAACTATGTATATCCAAGTTAAGTAAATTCATTAACTCTTGTGTCAACTCAGTATTATCAAATTCAAAGTAGGCATTTCATAAATTGAAAAGAAACTCTAAAATTTTGTCTGTATCAACAAAGTGTTTCTTACATTTTTTGTACTTTTTGCAGCCAAACCCAGTATGATGATTACAATTAAAATCTTCTGTATATTGTTTCATATCAGAAAAATGTATAAAATAATTACTATTGATTTGTATTTTGCAACACTTCCATTTTAACATAAATTCTCAAACCTGCTTAGTTAGGTCACAAAAGAGTTTTCCTTTTCTTGGAGCTTCAAGTTTATTTTTATGAAGTGTAATATTAAGTGAGAAAACACAATTTGCCCTGCTATTTTCATCTTTTGTTTCTTTTGGTTTCAAAAAAATCTTGATTTGAAGTATACAGTAAATCTTTGTAAAGTTCTTCCATGACTCATTTAATGGACATTAACAAAGAACACAAGATTATTGAATCTGTATTGTTTTTTTTTAGAGACAGGATGTCACTCTGTTGCCCAGGCTGGAGTGCAGTGGCACGATCACAACTCACTGCAACCTTGAACTCCTGGGCTCAAGCAATCTTCCCACCTCAGCTTCCCAAGAAGCTAGGACTACAGGTGCATGCTACCATGCTTGGCTAAGTTTAAATTTTGTGTGTGTAGAGACAGGGTCTTGTCATGTTGCCCAGGCTGGTCTTGAACTCCTGACCTCAAATGATCCTCCCACCTGGGCCTCCCAAAGTGCTGGGATTATAGGCATGAGCCACTATGCTTGGTCCCATTGTCTTTTCTAATTAGCAATAATTCATGGCCTTTGAATTTAAATTTGAATGATTTTAACGATTGCATTTATGACAATTTTCAATCTCTTAGAAAGTAGAGCACAAATATTTCCAATGTGCATTTTACAGTGGGATGAAAAAATAAGGAAAACATCCATCTCTTGTTTTAAAATTCCTGTATATTCACATTTTTATTTAATGTGGCTGGAGTCTATTGAGATAAAAACTGATTTTTCCAGATCTATTTAAAATTTTTCCTTATGGTGAAAGTCCAAAGTATGTGTCTATACCACAAATTAATTTAATAGGTCATGGGTTGACAGCATTTCTTTATAAATTTGAAGGTTGAAACAATTGTACCAATGGTATTGATTGCGCAGTCTCTCTTATATTTTATGACTCATCTAAAGCTAAAAAATAAAAGACTTTCAATTTTTAAAATTTTTAAATTAATTTATTTTTAATATTTCTAGAAAGAGTACATTCTACTAGTAATTGCTATTTTAATTGAAGATCTTTCACTTTTTATAAAATATCTTTTTTAGATTTTTTTCTTATAATTATCTAAGAAAATTATCATAATTGAAACAATGTGTATTTTTTTTTTTTTTTTTTAGACAGGCTCTGGCTCCGTCACCCACCCAGGCTGGAGTGCAGTGGCATGATCATAGCTCACTGCAGCCTGGAAGTCCTGTCCTCAAGCAATCCTCCCACCTATTCCTTCCAAAGTGCAGAGATTACAGGTGTGAGCAACTGTGCCTGGCCCATGAAACAACACAATTTATTTTACCTTGTATCTAAAAATGATTTTCTCTTTTTGTTCAGGAATTCAAACCGTTTTATGACTTGTCCAACTCAGATTCTGTTAAAAAATTATTTAAACATTTTTCTTTAAAGATTGAATTATAATTTTTTTATGTGACTAAGTTTGCAAATTTTTATGACTGTTGAGAAAAAAATTATCAAACTTACTACACATCTCCTAAACACTGTCCACTTTATTATCTTAATTTTTTTACACGAGCAAGCAGCTTTTTGTTTTGATATGACAACAAAGCATAATTGCCCCTCATCATTACTATTTGACCTATGTTTTTCTTTTTCTTTTTACTGTGTCTATCAAAATACTAGCATCTTCATTTTCAACTGATTCTGCATCTGATGCATTCCTTTATTTTATATTTGAAATTTGCTTTTACTAATTTTAACTAAAAAAAATTTAATTACAATATCCTTAAAATATTTCAGCTTAATTAACAATTATAATTTATATAAGTATCACTGTGACTCCTGCTGCCTGCATAAAAAATTCACATAAACACATTACAAAAATCATCTCAACTGCATCAAATCCATTGATGCAGACAAAATGCACTATAGTTAAAGTGAAACATAGTTCTACCAAAACAATAAAGCTATATTGAACAGAAAAAATATTTTACACTGCTTAAGTTTTTAAATTTAAGTTACTTAAAATCAAATCAAATAAAAAATTCAGTTTCTCAGTCTCTACAATTCCTCAGTCATATTTTTAAGTGCTCAATAGTTGCTTATGGCTAATGGCTCAAACCCAGAAGAAGATAAAAAATGCATATTGTTATCTGTATTTTATGTGTGATGGGGGAGGGGCATAATTCTCACTCCCCTCTCTCCACTTCCTGCTGCCTGCCTACCAAATTGTTGAGGTGTTTTTTGTTTTTGTTTTTTTTGAGACGGAGTTTCTCTCTTGTCGCCCGGGCTGGAGTGCAGTGGCATGATCTCGGCTCACTGCACCTCCACCTCCCGGGTTCAAGCCAGTCTCCTGCATCAGCCTCCCAAGTAGCTGGGATTACAGGCATGCGCCACCACGCCCGGCTAATTTTTTTATTTTCAGTAGAGACAGGGTTTCGCCATGTTGGCCAGGCTGGTCTTGAACTCCCGACCTCAGGTGATCTGCCCGCCTCAGCCTCTCAAAGTGCTGGGATTATAGGAGTGAGCCACTGCGCCTGGCCCTGGAGTTGTTACTTTGATGGAAGCAGCTTCCAGAACTGATTAGACCACAATTTACTAGTCTCAAGATCATTCTGTGCTGAATGTTCCTGTACATTGGTGTGGCTCTCTTTCTTAGCTCTTGCCCCTACATTTTCTGCTGTTTTCCTATCTCCATAGGGAAAAGTGACCCAGAGCACAGCCCCTGAAAGCAGGCCAGCCATCCTGAGCTCTCATCTGCTCACAGAGGGTCAGAGGAATTTAGACTTTTAGACAAGCTCATGCAGCTCATCTTGGCAACCAATTCGTGGAAAAAATAGGGGCTTAAATGAAGGCAGAGCTCCACTTAGTCCTTGAGACCAAATAATTGGCAAATGTTCAGTTTTCCAGCAAGCTCGAAATTGGGGGTGATTAGCAGCTAGTTAACCTTCAAAGAAGGGAGGAGGGACTTGTTTATCATTTGCATTCGCCTCTTGTGACTTTTTGTCTCAGGAACTTCACCGGGTCAGAGTTGTTAGGCAGAAACAGGACTCAGTAATCCTAGATTTCCTTGCTAAATATCATCTAATTATAGACCAGTGACACAATTATTTGTGCAAATTACCATTTTACTTTAATCTTGAGTTGCATTGCCATCTTTTTTGTAATGACCCTGGAGAAAAAGGAAAATGTTTTAATAAACTGGTATATGTATACTTGGCAGAGGACTGCATCCTTATCAAGATAATGGTATTAATCACAATGACAAATTTTGAGGTCATATAGAATTAATGAGAATATTAATTCTTAACTCTTGTCTTAAGCCAGAATCAGGAAGGTTCCTTGAAGAGTTACATTTGACTTGCAAACATCTCATACATTTGAACAGAGGTGGTACAGTTTCAGTATTCCATATCCACGCTGAGGCCTATTGTTGAACCCTCTTGCTCCAGACAATAATTAATCTGTCCTGAGCTGCCACTGCCACCTGGTGGTAGTGTAAGGAACCATCTAATACAAAATTGATTGCCTACTTAACTTTCTACATTCCACTTGCCTCTCTCTTGTCTTTTTCTACCTGGCCTCGGTTAATTCCTTCTCTGCCAATTGTCATCACATACACTGAAAGAATCATAGTGTGGTGGCTAAAAGTATAACTCTAGAGCTCACTTCTCCTCTCCACCCCTCACCAGCTCTGTGGCCTTGGACAAGCTGCTTAACATTTTGTCCTTCAAATGCCTAATTTGTAAAACGATAGTAATAACTCCTACCTCCTAAAGTTGTTTTAGAGAATGAGTCATGTAATTCATGTATGTACTGTGCTAAAAAATCTAGTGGCTAGCATACAAAAAATGCTCAATTCATGCTAACAAATGGCAGCTATCATTATACACATGCACACATCCTTTGTAGCTACCTTCATACTTCCCCTCTTCTCTTCCAATTTTGGTTATTTTTCCACCTCCCTCAAATCAATCCAAATCATATCTGACAAATGTCTTATTATTGCAAGTGATAAGAAATATGACTATTTCAGTGAAAAGGAAATTGATTTGCTTTTTTTTAAAAAAAAAAAAATTTGTGTTTTGAGAGTCTTGTTCTGCCGCTCGGGCTGGAGTTCAGTAGCGCGATTATGGCTCACTGTAGCCTTGAACTCCCTGCCTCAAGCAATCTCCCCACCTCAAAAAGGACTTGAAAGTCCCAGCCTTTCAAGTATCTGGGACTATTGGTGTGCACCATCACATCAAGCTCAGCTTTTGCTTTTTTTTTTTTTTTTTTTTTTGGAGAGATGGGGTTTCCCTATGTTGTCCAGGCTCTTGTTTGGAACTTGTGAGCTCAAGCCATCCTCTTGCCTTGGCCTCCCAAAGTGTTGGTGTTACAGGCGTGAGGCACCATGCCTAGCCTGATTTGTTTTGACATGAAGTTAAATGTTATGAACACAACGTATAAAGCTCCTGGAAATGACCAGAAGAGCCATTTAGAATCTTAGCAAAAATCCTGATTTGCTCCCTAACTTCTAGCAAAAATCACTTTTAAAAAAAATCATTAGCTGTCAAAAAATTAAAAACATCTTATTCCAATTTGTCTTCCTCTTTTGAAAAATCAATGATTTAAAAATATTTGAATTACACAAATACTAAACAAACAATTTCTTGTTGTAAAACTTTTAAACCAGAGATAATGCAACAATTCTCTTTGACTCCCTTCTCCTACAAATCCACTAGCTGCCCCAGAGATTAAGACTATCCCTTTGGTATATATTTTTTTCTAAGTCTTTTCCTATGCGTTTTTCCATTGTGTTTAAAAAATTCCTAACTTATTCTGGACACTTCTTTCTTGGTCATTCTCACACATGGTGTCCAATTCTCTGACCCTGTAATAGCCACTTACAAATGTCCCCAAGAGATGGATGGCAGGGATCTGCCATCAGCATAGAAGTGCAGTCCAGGCTGGGCACGGTGGCTCATGCCTGTAATCCCAGCACTTTGGGAGGCTGAGGCAGGCAGATCACTAGATCAGGAGTTTGAGACTAGCCTGACCAACATGGTGAAACCGTGTCTCTACTAAAAATACAAAATTAGTCCAGCGTGGTGGCATGCACCTGTAATCCCAGCTACTCAGGAGACTGAGGCAGGAGAATCGCTTGAACCCGGGAGGCGGAGGTTGCCGTGAGCCAATATCGCACCACTGTACTCCAGCCTGGGCAACAGAGTGAGACTCTGCCTAAAAAAAAAAAAAGCGTAGTCCAAGGCCCTTCCACTCCACTCGTTGGTCCCATTGACAGCCTTCCTCCTTTAAATTTGAGGACTCTCATCTTCTTGATCCTTTCTGTCTAGACCCAGTTTAACTAGACTTTATGAGCAGACATTGGTCTCTTCAAGCATGAATCCAAACCTTTCTGACCTGGATATAGGTCAGCAGTTTCTTTGAATTTCTGCTTCTGTTTCCCTATGGGCTGAGAATGCCTTGGGGATTAAGAGAGACAAATATAAATAATCCAAAGGATTATTATTTTGAGATGTTATTCTGTCACATATTTATTTATGCTTATGTGGAAAGACTTAAAAGAGTTTGTGGAAAATGGAATTAAAAGATAAAAATAAAAACATAAACTTTGTTTCTCAACATAAGCTCCATAAAGTTCCAGACACCCTTGAAAGGAAAAAAAATCAGCCACTTAGTCCATTCCTGTCAGAAGAAGCCAAATCACAACTGTAGGGTGAACGCCTCATGATTTCCCATTGAAATGCTCACAAAATTGCCCTTGTTTGATGAGAGGATTCTCTGGTGAAGCTTTCCTGGGCATTTTTCTGCTCTTTGGCTTTCTCAAAACTCTCGCAGAATAAGCAGATATTCATTGTTCTTTGACCCTTTAGAAAGTCAACAAGCAAAATGCCTTGAGCATCCGCAGAAATTGTTGCCATGACCTTTGCTCTTGATCAGTCTGCTTTTGCTGTGACTGGACCACTTCCACCTCTTGGTAGCCATTGCTTTGTTTGTGCTTTGTCTTCAGGATCATACTGGTAAAGCCACATTCCATCTTCTGTTGCAAATCTTCGAAGAAACGCTTTAGGGTCTTGATCCTGTTTGTTTAAAATTTCTGCTGAAAGCTCTGCTCTTGTCTGCATCTGTTTTGGGTGCATTGGTTTTAGTACCGATTGAGTGGAAAGTGTGCTCAATTAGTTTTTCAGTCAGAATTGCATAAACTGAACAATTGAGATGTTTATGTTGTTGGCTAATGTTTCTGCTGTTGTCAGTCTTTGTTAGTTAGGACCCAAACAAGGTGATTGTTTTTTTTTTCCTCAAAAATTGATGTGGATGGTCTGCTGCTGTGGGCTTCATCTTCAACATCATCTAGTTCCTTCTTAAAGCAGGTTATCCACTTATAAACTGATTATTTATTTGGGGCATTATCCCCATAAACTTTTGGTAAAATAGCAATGATTTCATCATTCTTCCACCCGAGCTTCAACATAAATTTGTTTGTTCTTGTTTATATTTTAGCATAAGTTATGTTGCTCTGATAGGGGCTTTTTTCACACTGATATCTTATCCTTCTTAGTGCTTCAAACTAGATCCTCTTCAGATATGTTATAACTAGTTAATATGAGTTTATTTTGGTGCAAAAAATCTTAAAACTCCATGCCTTATTTTTAAAATAATATGCATTTTTTTATGAATTTTTTGAAGACTCTTCCTACAGTAAATAAGTATATAGTTTTGTTTTAATTTACCTTTTTTCCACACAAATGTCATCACCATGTAGGCAATATTTGTAAGATTTTAAAAAATTTATCAATAATCTTGAAATAAATTTTAAAATATTTATTACGTGAAATAACTAAAGAGTTTCCAAATTAACTAAGAAGTTCACAAATTAGAAAATAAATGTTAAACAGTACTTAAAAATGTCCCTTTTTTACTATTAGTTCTAATGTGTCAAATTTAGCATTTTTAGTCAACTTTGCCATGTACCAACTTTCACACTGTTAACTTATAAATGAAGTTTATCAACATACTTTTAAAGTGGTTACCTTCTGTATTTACATTGAAAATGTTTTTTGAACTTATTTTTACTTATTTCCTCAAAAAATTACTTGCCCTTGAAATTTCTCATATGGTATGATTCCAAAATAACAAAAAGCAAGCAAACAGACAAATCTCAGAATGCAAAATTGTATTTTACATCTTTCATAAGTGGCTTAAAATAAAATTTAATCTTTCAACATACAAATTTATGCATAATTTTTAAAATCACATGGTTGGTCACTTTCTCTTGTAGTAAATTATATCTAAAGACTTTCCCCATGCAGAATTATTTGTAAATCAAATGACTAAGTTGTCTAAGTCCAATTGAAATTAAAAATAAAAATATATTATAGTTTAGATGGAATATATATTTAATTTCTACTTCTTGTAATCCTTGTTATATATACAGCCAGTAACTGAAGAAAATCATTATCACAGATGAATACTAAAAGGCAAATTTTCTTGAGTACTAATCAACATATAAAACCTACTATAGTATTGTATGTATTTGGGGTAATCCATAAACCTATATTCCATTTGCATACAATTATAATTCCATCATTAAAAAAAATTCACATTGTGTAGCTAAATAACTAGAATGAATGCTTTCCAACACTTTGGAGTTTCCTTTTGGAACAATATTTGCAAATGTCATATAATCTCCTATTGCAAGTGTGAACTTTTGCCAAGCCAAAAAATAAAATGCTATAAAAAATGAGATCCAACTGTGTTTTAAAATATTTTCAAAGAAAAGGGAAATATTAATCCAATCATTCCTTAAATGGTATTGGATTTGTAAAAATAGGGTCGGGGGGGGGTAGATTTTATGTCAGCGGTTGCTATGTTGATAATAATAGTAAGTTGTGTTCATTTTCTCATTAAGGTATCAGTACTTCACTTCATTAGTTTTCTAATAAACTCAATACTGCATATGAAATATTTAAAAAGTCAAAGATTTGGATCCCTGGCATCATATAAAGTCTTTGAACATCTACCTGAAAAATGTTTATATAGAACAGATTCACAGAATTCCTTCTTATACAAACAGCCCACATCCATGTTACATACCCATTCTCCCCTAGAATTCATTGGTGAGGCTTGCACAAGTCAGGAGGAGGAAAGAAAAAGGATGAATGAAAGGAAGAAATATTGTTTTGTTTTGCTTTGTTTTTTATACTATCATAATACTGAAAATACCTCTGGACTTAATTTGGGCAAGGAAATTATTTTGGGGCTAGTCGGTAAGTCGAATATTTATCTGGAGTATGTAATCGCCCATATTTTTATTTTTATATTTTATTCTTGGCACAGTTAGCACCTTGCCAGCATCTCTTGATACAGTCACAGAGTAAGCACTTTCATAATCTCATTTTTGCAATTACTATCTCTCCTTCCTAGGTAAGTGGTTTAAAAAAAATGCATGCTGTGCATTTGTGGACTCTGTGTCTCTCTCATGGGCTAATTGGTTTACATGCAGTTTTTGTGGTTAGCCACTTAACTCTGAAGCTGTTTTTTACCTCATGATTCATGACATCCTTTTCACTATATCAGGTTTTGGAGCAATTGTTCTAGTGTGGTTGAGCATGCAATTATCTTCTCATCATTTCTGTTTTTGTCCCTCATCCTCACCCTTTTGAATTCTTGCTAAAGATAAAAGAAGGAGTTCAAAATTAATGTAAAAATGGTATCTGCAATATAGGCTAAAAGTAGAAATGCCTGGAAATTCAAATATCAACCATTTTGGCTATTCTGGGAACTCTAAGATATCATGTAAATGTGATGATGTGGAGAATTGCAGTATAATTTTGATGGTTACTTTTTAAAAAAATTTCTTTTCAGATGTCAGGGTCATTGTGAAAGAACATAAAAATCTGCATATCCAAATGCAATGTTGATATCAAGTCAGCCACTATTTTTTATTAATACACACACACAGTTTTCAATTTTCTGCTGGGTGCTATGGATGATATAATATCAACAGAGGATGAGGATTGTGACAAGAGAGTATGAGGGCCAAGCACGTGAGTCTGTCCCTAACTGCTCTGGAGGATTCCAGTTTCTGCCCCTTATTTTCTCAAAAATGTCTGCTTCGTATGATTGCAGGGAGGATGAAATAGTTTTGTGTAGCACATAGACAGCACCTTCAACAAAGAAAGCTCACAACTAGGTAGCTGTTATCTTATTACAAAGCAATCCATTGGCAAAGGCTGACCTGCGTGGGCTGGATTATAAAAGCATAGATATTTGGAAATAGAAAGGCTTTTGAGAGCCGTGATCATCAAGAAAGCTTTTATGGCCTTTGGGATAGACTTTAACTGAAGAAAGTAGAAACTGGTACGAAGGGGAATGAGAACAAATCTAGAAGGTAATTTATCTAGAGAAACTAAAGAAACTTATTTGATAAGGAAGGATGGTTAGTGCGGTGAGTAATGGGATATGGGATGGCAAAAAATGAAGATGGAAAATGGAGGGAGTTAAATTTTGTGTATTTGCCAATGTAGTTATAAAATATAAATTTAGGGACTCTTTAGAAAGGGGAAATCTGTCCCTTTCCTTCCTAAGGCAGTCCCAATGTATTTGAACTAGAGACTCAAGATCATTGATCTAAAATCATTCCTAATGATTTTGCTTGTTTATATCTGGATAACTGTGAGGTTACCTTAACAATCAGCTTGCTAAGATGAAGAATATTTCAAGAGAATAATATTTAGCTATTTTAGAACACTGGCCTTAAAAATAAAAGGAAAAGATGTTCTGAGGTGTAAGGAAGAGAGATATAGAAAAAATGGGATGCTGAGGGTTTTTTTTTTGTTTGTTTTTCTTTTTTTTTTTCTTTTGAAATGGAGTCTCGCTCTTGTCGTCCAGGCTGGAGTGCAATGGTGCAATCTCAGCTCACTGCAACCTCCACCTCCCAGGTTCAAGTGATTCTCCTGCCTCAGCCTACTGAGTGGCTGGGATTACAGGCATCTGCCACCATGCTCAGCTAATATTTATATTTTTAGTACAGATGGGGTTTCACCATGTTGGTCAGGCTAGTCTCGAACTCCTGACCTCAGGTGATCCACCCACCTCAGCATCCCAAAGTGTTGGGATTACAGGCATGAGCCCATAGTGCCCGGCTGATGCTGAGTATTTATAGGGACATATGGATCGTCATGGCGGTGGAACCTAAAACAGAATGTGAGATCTAAAATAACGAAGTCTGTTTGTGCTATCTTTGCAGGGCTTTCTTTGTTCCTAATGTCTCACTCTCTTTTCAAGTTCAATTTTTCTTAAAAATATATACATACCCTTATTCTCTCAAAATCTTAAAAAGATTGAAATAACCTCTGCATATATCTTTTAATTTTGTGTACAAATCAGAGTCTGTGAAAGAGATAGCACCCAGTACCTTCTGGCCGTTTTGGCACTGCCTGGCCAAAAGTTGATTCACTGCTTACAGAAGGTTAGACCAGTAGCTGCCTGGAAGTCTCCCCACTGCTTCAACAGCATACTTCACTAAATGACTGGCTAGACAGGCTGGTTTTTCATTGAAGTACCAGCTATGTATACATCATTCTTTTCCTTCCTGAAACAGAGAAACTCTTGTGTAAACATGGGCCAAGTCCAAAGTCCATGTGAGGGGTGTCTCCTGTTATTCAGACATCCATTACCTGGATAGTGTAGCCAAGTAGTTCTGGAAAACCATCCTACCCTCAGTACTGTATTTATGTCTGTTCTTTCCAGAGTAGATCAATGCACAACAAATGGCAAGTGGTTTAATAACAGAATGCAATTCTAAAAATAATAAACAGCTTACCTGCTCAAAACTCTCTTACCAACTGACATGAAAAGGATCTGAAACTTATGTCCACTTCTAAATGAAGGCATTGACTTTAGAAATCTGAAAAGATGCATGTGTTATTTATGAGTGTAACACAATCACCCATAAGTACTTTGGCAGGATGAAACCCTAAAATAATGGGATCTCGGACAGGTTAGTTTTGTTCAGAGAGATTGAAGCAGGGGATGTCTAGGGTGTGATGAACTATTCAGGGACTCTGGGATGGAATCACAGTGCACTACAATCTCTCAGAAAGAAGAAGTCCTATGAAACCATTTGGATGGGAAAACAATGTTCATTGTAGCAGTATTCACAATAATTAAGACATGGATTCAACCTAAATGCCCATTAATGACAAATTGAATAAAGAAAATGTGGTACACATACACCATGGAATACTATACAGCCATGAAAAAGAACAAGATCATGTCTTTTGCAGGAATAGAGGATGTTATCCTCAGCAGACTAATACATGAACAGAAAACTAAATACCACATGTTCTCACTCCTAAGTGGGAGCTAAATGATGAGAACTTATGAACACAAAGAAGGAAACAAGAGACACTGAGGTCTAGTTGAAGGTGGAGGGTGTTGTAGAGGTTATTACATCACCCAGGTATTAAGCCCAGTACCTAATAGTTATCAACAAACCCCTGTGACATGAGTTTACCTATGTAACAAACCTTCACGTGCACCTCCAAACCTAAAATAAAAGTTAAAAAAGGAGAGTTGTGTGTAGAATATATTTATAAAATATTTTGTCCATTTCCAAGCTAGTACTTTTGTATAAATTAAACTAATTTTGTACTGCTCTATTAAGATGGATAAACACCAAATTTTATAAAATTTTAGTCAAGAATATACTTGAATAAAATGCTATGAAGACTATTGGCAATATATCCAAAGTATTTTTAGGTTTTAAAATAACAACGCACAGATCTGGGAAAATTAGTCTGATAATGCCTATCCTCAGAAATACTTTTAGCCTTTAGAAAAAGATATGTGTTTAGCTGGATAAGGTAACATGATTGAGGTCATTATATGATTCTACAAAAAGTTATAATAGACTATTTCATCAATAACAAATACAGGTTTTCTTCATTTCTTTAAATATTTAATTATTGTTCTAAAAAATGGGTAGTATAGGAAACAGGAGGATATTGAATTTTGTGTATTTGCCAATGTAGTTATAAAATCTTTAATATAAATTTAGAAATTATTTAGAAAGGAAAAAATCCATCTCAACATGAAATATCCAGTTTTTCTTTGTGTCTATCTAAACATAAATGAGTGTAGTTTTACTTTATATTCAGAAGAAAACACTTTTTTTGATGGATTTCTCCAAAAGAGAATATACAAAAGAATTTTATAAGTTTTAAAAGTTTACCAACAAACTATTTAGTGTTCAAACCTTGGCAGTCTCAAATAAAATAAAAAGATTTATGTTTATTTAAGCCATTGCAGGACAGAAAGACATAACGTGAATATAAAAAATTAACCAAAAAGCAAGTTAAACAACATTAAACATTTCAGAATAACAATGTTGCCAAATCATATTTCACTGAGAGTTCTAAACCACAGTCATTGACTTTGCCTACTTCAGGGTATGAAATATTTTTATGGATGCCAATCCACCCTCATGGCTAACCACATCACTTAGTACTTTTAGATGTTGGATCAAATGAGGCAGAGGAAGAAGACATTGAGATCACTCATCATAAATCCCTAGTTTTCAGAAGGACATTTGTTTGAAAAACAAAGGGAGGTGTGAAAGTGTAGCTCCAACCCTTCAGAATCCATTGGTGGAACTTGTCAGAATTTCAAAAGAACTGTTTGATTTCCAAAGCTGATGTTCCAAAACCAGACCAAGTTGGATATACTTTTAAAAAATCCAAAGAAAGCACATGCAAATTAGAGGTTACCCAATGTTACAAACTTAGCCAAAAACTTGCTGTAGGTTACATAATTTGTGTCTTGTGTTTTTGTCTACCAAGTGCTGAAAAACGCTCTGGAACACCTCTTTTTTTCTCTTTATGGTAACTTTAAAAGAAGTTTTTCTGGGGGAACATGGTATAGTTTATAATCAGCATTACATCTTGTATTTTAAGACTGATTGGTAACATTCGAAGTACTGGCCGTGGCACCCAATTGCTAGAGTATATACTGTGGAAGTTTGTAGAAAACAAGTATTCTTGGAATCTCGTGGGTAGTCTGTGAAATCTATTAAATTATATTGCTCACTTTTTAATAGATATTAAATCCTCTTGTAACATGTCCTTTGCAGAGACATGGATGAAGCTGGAAACCATCATTCTCAGCAAACAGTTACAAGGACAGAAAACCAAACACTGCACGTTCTCACTCATAAGTGGGAGTTGAACAATGAGAACACATGGACAGAGGGAGGGCAACATCACACACCAGGGCCTGTTGGGGAGTGGTGGTTGGGGGAGGGAGAGCATTAGGAGAAATACCTAATGTAAATGACGAGTTGATGGGTGCAGCAAACCAACATGGCACATGTATACCTATATAACAAACCTGCACGTTGTGCACATGTACTCTAGAACTTAAAGTATAAAAAAATAGATATTAAGTGATAGATTGGCCTTTACTTCTTATAATGCACTTGTAATAGAGAATTATAGGTCATATATATGTAACTTGACAAAATGACAAAATAGCTATTGTAGGGATCAAAACTAAAAGCTGAGTGCATCCCTCCCCAAATTCTCTGGTGCACTTTCAACTATTGTAGAACATTCCTATAAAGGTTTATTTTTAATAGTGGGGGGAGGGGGAATACTGTACAGATATCTGAATAGAATTTATGTAATAAATCCTTCAGGTCATGAGTAACTTTCTTTAGAGTCATATAACTATTAACTTTTAGAGTTAGAAAGGATATTAATGATAACTTAACCCAATCACTATATTTTAATACATGATATAGCTGAAGTCCAAAGATATGATGAACTTATCCAAAATCAAAATATTATTAAATAAAAATAATATTCATAACCATTATTGCAATAAACCTTTAATTGCTTTAAAAAAGTCTATTATTGCTCCAAATGTGTCCAATGAATTAACTTATATAATCTTTTCAACATTTTTATAAGGATGAGTACAAATATTGTCCCCACTTTTTTTTTTGAGACAGGGCCTCACTCTGTCACCAGACTAGAGTGCAGTGGCATGATTGTGGCTCATTGTAGCCTCAACCTCCCAGGCTCAAGTGATTCTCCCACTTGAGCCTCCCAAGTAGCTGGGACTACAGGTGTGTGCCACCACGCATGGCTAATTTTTGCATTTTTTTGTAGAGATGGGGTTTCACCATGTTCCCCAGGCTGGTCTCAAACTCCTGATCTCAAGTGATCCACCTGCTTCCACCTCGGCCTCCCAAAGTGCTGGGATTACAGGCATGCAACACCATGCCCAACCTGTCCTGTTTTATAGATGGGAAAACTGAAATGCAGAGAAGTCAAGTAATATGCTAATTAGTGGCAAAGATAAGGTTCATTTTTAGGTCAATGATTCAAAAGAACACTTCTGATATTTATATTATATTGAAGATTAGTTCATTACATTCATGAAGATTTAATTGAATCTGAGTTACTTACATAACACAGAGGGGAGAGTGCCCTAAATAATGACAAACAACTGACCTTAAATCAATAATTTTATTTAAGAAGGCATTGTAAATATCACTTTTGCAGATTCAGTTTTCTAAAGATTTTCAATTAAGAAATATATTTGAGTAAATATGCTGTAAGCGTGGTACAATTCTTGGCAATGGAGATACAAAGATGATAATTTTTCTCAAAGTCAAAGTCAGTTTGAATTCCTATCTAGTGATCATGTGGAAGGAAGAGATAACATTGAGAAGTTGAGAGAAAAAAATGACAAACATAGAGATGACACTGTATTTATTTATATACTGATAGGACAAATATTAAGAAATACTTATATTTTCTATTTCATATTGTCGCAAGTAAGGTGATCCGACTTTTGAGATAACAGCTTAATTTATGTTTTTTCCAAGCTGTATTAGCTTATTCAGAAAAAATACTTCCTCTTTTTAAAAGTTTGAGAAAACATATTCAATTCAATGCAAAATACTGCTGCTTGACATATATAATTTTTGTGTATCTTGAATCAGTATGCCTCATAGAGTATATATTTAGATGTAATACTTTAATCAATTTTATTGATGGAAAGATACTGATTTTAACTTCAGTGATATTTACTACCCTTTGGCTTGGCTTCATTTTACAGGAGATTCCAGTCAACTTTAATTTGTGCTATTTTAACATTTTACTACAGCTCTCACCCCTCCTGAGAAAGAATTTATTCCTCCTTCAAAATTTATGGGATTCCTTTATAACTTCTTTCTAAAAGAAAAATAAGTCAGGTTGTAATTAATTCCCTTACAGATAGTTTATGAAATTAGTGCTGACTCTGTCCCTTCCTTTGCTATGGTTTGTGAGGCCTTAAAATGTAATTTAAGAGGTGAGATTATAAGTACTTCCTTGTTCAGGAAAAAGCAAGAGGAAGAAAACTCGTCTCAGGAAATATAAAAGCCTTAAAAGAATGATTATTTTGTAGGCATTGTGAGGAGAGGGTGAATCATGTGTGAATTGTGTTCTTTCAAAACAGACTGTGGCAGTTTGTTAGGTTATAAATTCAAATGTGGCCTCACAAACGCAAGTCAATTTAAATCATGAGGAATCTTCACAGAGCACCATTTAGTCCATACTGGCTGTTACCAGGAGACCATTAAGCCACAAGGCACCTTCTCAGCAGGATCCCACAGATCAGCATTACTGGGATTGGAATTCTTCATTAGTAAAAAGAAGACACGAAGTAGTATAATGGAAAAAACTGAGCTTTCTGGCAGAGAGCCTTCTGTTATGTGACCTTGTGGCCGTGTTATATCATCTCATCCAACCTGCAGTTTTCTCACTGAAAAACACCTACCTTCCAGAACTTCTGTATCATAATGTGTTTGCTTTCTTCTATATCTCAGATCTGTCCCTGGTCTTCCAAAACCTATGTGGGTCTTTGAGAAAGCCTCAGTCTGGGCTTCACCTCTGTCATTTGTAAAAATTGAGAATATAGATTAAATAATTTAAGGATACCTTCCAAGTCACAATTCTCTAGGAAACTTGTGAAAGTGCATGGCAAAAATGGATGGTGAAATTAATATACGACCAAAAATAGGTAAGATATTAAAGATAATGAAAAGAATCTTACTTGATTTTTTTTACTCATATTTCAGCTTTGAAACCAAATAAGCTACCTAAGTTGTCACAATTTTCTTTTACTGATTTCAAAGATCTCCATGCAATGAAAGTCTGGGGGTGGGAGTGGGGGCGGATGGGCAGGACATAATTTGACCTGAGGATAATAAAAACAGAGTATTTGAATCTGGTCATCATATGGCATTTAAGACAGCCACCACTTCCATCCTTCCCAAAGCAGACCTGGTTAACCAATTTTAACACTCTCAGTCCAGACTTGGGTTTAGCATTAAAACATATTGATCACTATGCTAACTATTTAACCCATTTAACCTCATTATCCTTTAAGATAATTACATTCAATTTCATTGAGTAGCCTGAGGCTCAGATGGGAAAAACTTTTGGCCAACAACAACCACTGGCAGGCAGTGTAGCCAGCATTCTTGCCTAATTCTTTCCACCTCCAAGGCCTGTGCTCTTGAAGACTGCACTGTATTGCCTTTCCTCATAGTAAGAATAAGAGGATTTGAAAGATGAATTCAAATTGAGCCTCAATGTTATTTCATTCATTTCATTCCAAATGTTTATTGTGCTTCTGCAATTTGCCAGGCACTGTTCTCAATGTAGGTGATATATCAGTCAATAAAGCAGAACAAAATCTAGTATGTATACTTATGGGAACACAAATAACAAACAAGATCAGTAAATGCAATTTAAGGTATATTAGTCTTTGTCTATGCTACAGAGAAAAAAAAAAGTAAGGAAAGTCAGGGTGGCAGACTATGAATTAGTGGGCAGGGAAGTTCTCATGAAAAGGTCATATTTGAGTGGACAAGACTTGAGGGAAGGAAAGAAATTGGGAGAAAAGTATTGCAGGCAGAGGGAGAACAAGTGCATAAACACTTAGGAGGGAAATCTGGCACAGTGTCTCAGGGTACTGAAGTGGAGAGATCAAGTGATAGATAGAATAACAGGAAATAAATCTAGAGACAAGACGGGCTAAGAGACCAGACTGAGAACCCTGTGGGGCATAAAAAGGACTTTGCTTGTATTTTTTGAGCAAGATCGGAAAGAATTGGAAGGCTTTGACAAAGGAGGGCATGATTTGGTACTGCGTATTGACTAGCATTATGAAAATGTTGACTATTTCTTTGATGAAACAGAATTATAAATATATATTACAACTTAAGTCCACTTAATGTACATAATGTGATACATAATGTACATAATGTGTGCTGTTATGGCCTGAATTGTGTCTCCCTAGATTCATATGTTGAAGTACTAAGCCCCAGAACCTCAGAATGTGACTATTTGAAATTAAGGTCCTTAATGAGGTTTTTGAATTAAAATGGGGCCCTTAGGGTGGGCCGTAATCCAATCTGACTGGTGTCTTTATAAGAAAAGATTAGAAAATTCAAAGAGACACCAGGATTGCACACACAGAGGAAAGATCATGTGAGGGCACAGTGGGAAGGCGGCTGGTTGCAAGCCAAGGAGAGAGGCATCAGAAGAAGAAACCAACCTTGCCCAACACCTTGATCTTGGACTTGCCTCCAGTACTCTGAGCAAATAAATTTATATTGTTTAAGTCACCCAGTCTGCGATATTTGGTTATATCAGTCCTAGCAAACTATTACGTATGCCTCAGTAAACCATGTAGTCAAATGCATGTTTCCTTCTTATGGGGAATGAACACACTCAAACTACAACAATGATGATAAAAGTGCTTTTGCTTCCTATTCTTCCCACTATAAACATAAATATTCTTAACATTTACAACATTTGCGATTTATAAAACTATTTTACATGCATTACTTCACTGAATCATTACAACAACATTGTATTTTTTCTTAGTGAATGAATAGAACAAAAAGGAAGCTTTAGGAAGAAGAAATATCTTCCTCAAGATAAGTAACTGGTTAGAAACCAAAGCAGTAGAAGAAGAAGGAATGGAGTTAGATGGTGTCTAAAATAATCTCATAGATGACTTACTCATTGTAAAGCTGAAAATGTGTCTGTAAAGTGGAGAGATCCCCACTTGGTAACTACCTTAACCAAAGGATAAAATGGTGGTAAAACCTGAAGTTGTGTCAGTCCTGATGCAATGCAATATGAAACACTTAAAATACAAGGAATAAAATACCACCTATGATGTGTTCTTGTCACAAATGTTAATTCCGAATCTAAGCAAGCCTTTATATCTACAGCTTCATTTATGGGAAATACAAGAGAT
Organism: Homo sapiens; assembly: GCF_000001405.40. Classification (NCBI taxonomy): domain Eukaryota; kingdom Metazoa; phylum Chordata; class Mammalia; order Primates; family Hominidae; genus Homo; species Homo sapiens. Next base: position 52,630,017 of record NC_000010.11, on the reverse strand, counting down.
TGGGCAACATGTTAAACTATGCAATGAGGAAGCAATAAAACAAATTCAGAATATGAAACATTTTATGAGAAAATTGGTCTGGACTTTTCAAAAAGTGAGTATCATGATAGAGATGTGTGTGTAGAGAAAACTATTCTCTAAAAGATCCCAAAGAGATGCAACATCTCACACAATGTATGAACCTAAATTGAATTATTTGGGGATAAAAAGGATCTAGAAAACACATCCTTGGCATAAGTGGCAAAATTTGAATATGGATTCAATATTAGATAATAGCAAGGGATTTTTAATTTGTTATCTTGTTAATAGTATTATAGTTATATAACAGAATGTCCTTATTTTCAAGAATTTAAGTGTGAAAGCATCATGACTGCAATTAATTCTCAAATATTTCAGAAAAAATATGTGTACTTATACAGAGAAATATATAAAATAAATATAGCAGTATGTTAATTTTTCAATCTACATGACATGTATACCATGTTCTTTGTACTTGTGTTTGAATTTTTCTGTTTATTTGGAAATTTTAATAGTAAAAACTTGAGATTACGAAAGGAAAAAACAACATTGTACATCGAATGTGCTCAAAGAAAGTAGACACTGGTACAAAGGATGAAATGGTGATTCAAAGAGATAGACAAAGAGAGGCTGCTAAATATCTTGCTAGGATTGGCCCTTATTAAATTAGAGACTAACTGAACTGATTTTGAAATCTCTTTTTCTTACTTATAAATGTTCACAAAATAAACTAAATAAAAGCTTCCCCAAATCTTTCAGAATTTTAAACTGCCTCATGTTCCTCTCTACTTCTTTGATAAGGTAGAAGATATGAGCTTATGAAATTAAATTAAACTATAACCTTTTTTTATATTTCTCAAACAACCTAATTTGTGTTTCAGAGTTTCCCTTCCTTCATTTTCTCCCCTAGTTGCATGTATATTTCAGGAGCTCTTGAAATAACAATCAGCTCTTAGAGTCTGTGCTAGTTAGTTTCAGGCAGTTATAACAAAATACCATAAACTGGGTAGCTCATAAGCAACAGAAGTTTATTTCTCATAGTTCTGGAGGCTGTGACGTCCCAGATCAAGGCGTCAACAGATTTAGTGTCTGATGAGGGCCACTTTCTCATAGTTGGGACCTTTTTGCTGGGTCCTCACATGATGAAAGGGGCTATCTCTTGTGAGCTTCTTTTATAAGGGCACTCATCCCATTCATGAGGGCTCCACCTTCATGACCTCATCACTTCTTTAAGGCCCCACCTCTTAATATTGTTGCATTGGGGATTAAGATTCAACATGTGAATTTTAACACAAGCATTCAGATCATAGCAGTCAGAAGGGTAGGATCTGGCCTTTTTTACTCCATGCTCCACTGAAATGTACATAACCCCAACTTGTTCTTGGCTCCCTGTTCACACTAGTTGCTATTTTGACATCACTCACCCTTGTTCCTAGGCCTTCCCTTGGTCAGATCTCTTTCAATTATTTCTTTGTTCTTCTTCAGGGCATGGAAAACATGCAGATGCTCTACGCCATGTTCTAGGGCCTCTGGAAATACACTGGGGCTAAATAAAGCCATGTTCCCACAGAAATCACCTCTTAATGTGTAACCTACAGCATGAGCACAATTTGGGTTGAAGTCAGAACTCTGAGATGTTGCTACCTTGCTTGCATAAGACTCAGATCCTCAATGTATGAATTTGTTTATTTCTCCCTTCCCACTTCCAGGTTGCTGATCTATGTGAAATGCAGCACATAGATCCCTTTCTTTCAGTGACAGGCTGCTATCTAAACTCTCTTACTCTTCTTCTCTCTTCTTTTCAACTATCCCTCGGTTGATAAAGCTTTATTTAGCTTTATCTATCTAGTTTTAAAGGTAAAACATATTCACTCTTAATGCATAGGGTATCCTCCCAAATCTTTTGTCATGTCCCAAGAAATAAATATTTAGTCTTTGTTCTGTTGATTCTCTGGGTAATCACTTCTCTGAGGTTAAGTGTATGTCTCAGCTGCTGTTTAAATTACATGAAGAGAAACAAGGTAAGAATATAGGAATACTAAACTGTTTGTTTTACATATGAATATGTTATCCGCTACATTTATAAAAACACTGACATGTAGTTATTCATAATTCCACCAGAAGACCATCTTCCCATGTCTTATAATTTGGTATACATTAGTTCCCTCCAATCATTTTTGACAATAAAGTGTCTTAAATTAACTCAGACTTTTGTGTGCCAAAAAAATGAATACTCTAAAAGAGGGCAAGCCAACATAAATAAAATGTGAACCATAAATGTAATTTTTAATTTTCCAGTAGCCACATTAAAAAAAAGATGTAATTTATCTTATCTAGCCCTATATGTCTGAAATATTATCATTTCAATATGTAATCAATATTTTAAAAATATGTTTTATATTTCTTTTTCCATAATAAATCTTTGAAACTTGGTGTGCATTTTATACTTACCATCAATTTGAGCTAGCCACATTCCATATGCTAAATTTGGGCTAGCCACATTCCATATGCTAAATACAGTAGCAACTGTATTGGACAGTGTTGCTGTAACAAAACATCAGAACCTTTAAAACTGAGAACACATTGAGAAGTTGCTGTCTACAATCCAGAAAGAAAGCCTTCATCAGAACCATACTATTCTGGCACCTTCAGTCTGACTTCCAGCCTTCAGAGCTGTGAGAAAGAAAGTTCTGTTGTTTATGAGCCACCTAGTCTATAGCATTTTGTTATAGTAGCCCAAACTAAGACATTCTGCATGTCTCCAAAAATGACACCCACCCCTTCTTCTCCCAGTTCCATCTTGTACCTCTGGCTGATAAAGAGCATCAACATAATCTGTCTTGAATCTGGGGGAAAACTGAGGGTCTTACCTGAAAAAAATGGATGGATTTGCTGTAATGCCTTGCTTTATTGATAGCTTCAAGGCACAAAAGAAGAACTTCAATCACTATGAGAAGAACATCCAATCACTAAAACAATCATTATTGTTTTGTTATATAACTTTTGCAGACATTGAAAGTGGATGGTAAAGAGCCATTTAGGACAGCTCCAAAAGTCCTTGCCCTGGGTTACTAAGGAGCAGCATCATCTATAAGAATAAATAAAACAAAATCTGAGTAGGGTTACAGATGGCAATACCTTCTGTTTTAGAGATCTTTAGTTTGAGGTTTTTTTGGGACTCCCAAGTAGAGATGTTCAGTGGCTCGTCTGATCCATGTATCTGTTTCTCCAAAGACAGAAACTTGGGCTTTAGATATGGATTTCAGAGTCATGGTTCACAGGTGAAGCTATGGCTATCAATTTCAAAAAATACAAGATTTTTCTAAGCTAAAACAAAAACATAATTTCTTCCCCAGGTTTAAAATTTTCATAGAATTGTGGAACTTCCTGAAGGAGATAGCTGAGAGATCATCTGTTTCGTCCTGCTGATTTTTTTTAAAGCAGAGAGTACTTATCAATATTACTATAGTTACATATTAACATGGGCTTTTAATTTTCTGAAGAAACTCAAAACAATGCAATTGTGCATTATGTGAATAAATGTCCTCATATAGATGTATTTGTGTGGTAGCAAAGATTCTATAATGTTTGTACTCTGTGATCAAAGGAGTGGCTTTTACCCTCTGATCCCAGTATCATTCTTTATGGTTTGGGAACTTGGCAATTAAGACCATAGATTATTTTCTTGGTATCCATCAGTTTGATAAATCTTAGACAGCTACATGAGTTCTTTAAAGGAAATAATAAATCTAATAAATATACCTTGGTAACCATTTCAGTCTATATTTATGCCTTGAAATCTAAAGCTTTCATTAAGCTTTCTCAAGTGTTCTTGTAGAGAGTTAGAACGTAGCTTCAAATGATATTTTCTAAGTTTTATGTGATTCCTTACTGAGAAAGAGTCAAACTTTCTTTTTTCTTTTACTGAATGAGATTAGATAACACCCACTTTAGGAAACAGAATGTTTCATTCTTACGGGTTTTAATTTTTTTTTAATCCTATTATTTCTTTATAACTCCCTGGGCAATTTAACCAGGTTTGTTAGGGTAAGTATGCTCAAGTAAAATGAAATTAAAACTTCTCCAATTGGTTATTACCTCAATTCACAGGAAAATACTTCTCACCTACTTAAAGCAATTTTTCCACTAATAAAAATTAATTTTCTATACCACTTTAAGCCATGAAGCTTTTGGTGCAAATTTATAATTTTTATATTTGACATAACAGGTATAGGAAATTTATGAAGTGCTGGGTTTTAAAAACTGTGAATGATTGTACAATATATTTTATAACACTGATCAGATAAGATGGTTATATACAAATTACTGAAGAATCTGCAGGTTTTAGAAAGGACCAAATTAAACTGATTGTTCCTCGTGTAATTGTCAGTTCCGTAGCTGTTTGATGGCTAAGCAAGCACTTTAGTTACAACATGATTGAGTTTGTGGTACTATGTAGACATGCTCTATTTATGGAGGTAACCTGATAATCAAATATCAGGGACAAAAGAAGAGATCACTATAGCTATTCAGGAATATACAAATCGATAGATGCTGTAGGACAAGGGATATTTGTAAAGCACAAATCCCAGAACTTTATGGAAGTCATTATGTTGAGAAGAACTTTAAGGTAGATGAAATTTGGGATAAATTATTCAGGGTTGTAGAGGACCATGCTTTTGGATTTTTGTCACAAGTTATTAAGAATTCACCCTGATTACCAGTGTCCTAGTTACTTGGTATCTTACTTAGTGCCTATAATTCTGCTGTGTTCATTCATTCAAAAGTATTTATTATGTACCTCAGACATGAAAGAAACATACTATTGGAGTATCAGGAAAGCATATATAGATAGCCTTTAATGTGTATTTCTATACGTAGGGTCTCTACTACATTAAAATTAGCTAGATCATGTTTTCTTAGGTACTTTGCTTTCTTTTTGAATGCCACAACTTTCATTTGAACTTTTCTGTTTGCTAGGCTTTCCTTCAGTTTTCATAAATTAACCCTGATTCTGCCCTCCAAAACCAGTGCAGTTGCGTGTCTTCAGGAACCATAAGTCGAAATAAAGAAATCTAATTTTCAAAATATCTTCAGCCTCTTCTTTTTTTTCCCTACCTACTGCTTTCTTCCAGGAAGTGTTTCTCATCATCTGATCAACAATGACCCTATATATTTACAAAGTATAACTATAATTATTTATTATTGATAAGTCATATTATGAATAAACAATTTTAAAATGCATAAACCTAAAAACATAATTTTTCAAGGTAGAGACTGTAACACACATTTCTGTATTTGTGAGTGTGTGATATACAGATATTTTTACTGTCATTAGCTAGTCCCTATGAATCAAATGGTGAAAATATCATAAGTATTAGTACACCTTTAATTCAGTAAGAAAAATAAACTATATTCAGTTTTGAAGGTTCTGTTTTATTAGAATCAAACTGTCCAAACACCTCATATTTTAGCATTTTTGTTTTTTATTACACATATCACCTTCTATGTTTATTTTTTCTTTTAAAAATCTTTCAATAGAATATATATACGTGCCTCATTTTCCTTCTGAGAGCAAAAAGTGTAATCATAGGTAGTAACTGCCCATCATTACTTAATGAAGAAGATTGATATAATACAAAACCACCATAATATGGCAAAGTTTAGTAAGAGATCATTGAATTTAGCTTGCTTGTGGACATTGCTGTGGTAGAAAACAATAAAGTTTACTAACTCTACTTGTAGCTCAATTTTCACTGTTGTATAAGATATAGTCTAATTTACAGATACTGCTTCTTAAAAAACTGTGACTGATTTCATCAGATTTTCAGTAAAATATGTTCGGTGACAGACATGAAATTGCCGGAAAGGTTATATCATTCTAGTTTTATTAATACTACACCAGATAGGTTTTTCCATAAGCTGAGCCATGATGAAGATCTGAAATTTCAACAAGTTTCCCATTCTGAAGGTTCCCAGTCACAATGGAAATGATCCTAAACACAGGAACTGGTCAAGACTTCCTTAAGTGTGCTTCTTGTTACATAACCTCTCCATACCTCAGCTCTTAGACAGGAAATTGTTTGCTGATACCACAGGCAGAGAAAGTTTGTGCTCTGAGAGAAGAACTAAAAGACAGATATAAAGCCATGATCTTTCAGGCTGGTTTTATATTTGGCTATTTGATTTGAAGATGTTTCCTTTCACAAGCACTACTGAAGTTCTTTGGTAGAGATGCATAACCTCCTATTAAGAACATAATTCAGTCAAAAGTCAATTTCAACTTTTTCTTTTTATAAAATCTACCTAAGTCATAGGCTACAGAAGAGAGAAAGTCAAGGACCTTAATTCGACAAGCATTCTCTGAATAATGAAAAGATCTGGAGTTGAATGGAAAGCTAACATAAGAAATAATTGGTTTTGGATTTTTAAAAAATGTAACCTTGCTATTTCTCTGCATGTTCCTACTAGGTTTGGGTGTATTTTAAAAAAGGCACTAGTCTGACCAACATGGTGAAACCCATCTCTACTAAAAATACAAAAATTAGCTGGGCGTGTTGGCACGCACCTGTAATTCCAGTTACTTGGGAGGCAGAGGCAGGAGAATCGCTTGAACCAGGAGGCAGAGGTTGCAGTGAGCCAAGATCGCGCCACTGCACTCCAGCATGGGTGACAGAGCGAGACTCCGTCTCAAACAAAACAAAACAAAACAAAACGAAACAAAACAAAACAAAACGGCACTGGGTAAATGCGGAACATTGGTTTAAAAATAACTAAAAATTAGACTATACATTATTTAAATCCTGACGAAGAAAATAATTAAGCTACTACACTCTGTCAGTGGACTGAAACCCCTAATAAAAAAAGAAACACACTTTGACTTCATTCAACCAAAATATACTTGTGTTTTAATCAGTGTTCTAAGAAAGTTTATATTTTACCTCATTTAACTTCACAACAAGCCTATGTGGTACATATGATGATAATTATGCAAATGAGGAGATGAAGCCTAAGAGAAGTTGGGAACTTTGGTGAGGGCTCCCTATTAATGGGTGGCCAAAGCAAAGGGATAGCAGCCATAGGTTGAGAGGTAGCCAGAAAAAAAGGACAATTTTGAGCTAGGCATGGACTTGAAACTATTTCTAACACCCACTAGCTGCACAGCCATGACAAATTATTTAGCCTCTTAGAGGATCTGGGTAAGTTGATGATTATACCCATCTCTTAGTGCTGTGAGAACGAAAAAGGATTGAGTATCTGAAGTATAGTAGGTGTTACATAAATGTTTATTCAATATATTATTGAATAATTGATTAGTGACAAGTTGCAGCATGGTTTTAATGAGGATAAATAGATCAATATGTATGACTGCTTGGCACATATAAGTACTAATAAGTGTCACGTAATACTAAATAATAATAATGATTATTAAAGTCTCCAAATAAGCATAACTATTATTATTCTTAACTTACCAAACTTGAGTTGCAGTTCTTCGCTCCTGTTTGCAAGTTATCTCAGTTAGAAATTATGCATATTCAGCCTACCTAAAGCAAAACATCTCTCATCATAAAGTTGAAAGCCATGTATTTGTGCTCTTATCTCTGAAGTTGCCCATCAACCTGTAAGTTCACATTTTCCCTGTTTTTCCTAGTTTATTTTTCCAATAGTCCGTACAGAACTACATTAGAAAAAAAAATGTCAGTGAATGTGGCTACCTTTTACAAAACTTGCCTCTCTAATTGGGGCCAGCAATATTCCATGTTCCTTTTCTGCTGGCCAGGGGCTATTTCCTTGTTTAGGAGAGATTTGACACTGCCATTTCCAATTCACGAACTCACATGTCACTGTCACAGGCCTGGTTTTGATCTTTGAAGCACCTCTTCCTAAACTGGTATTCAGACCCCTTGCTTTTAAGGAAAGGAGACCTGGTGCCTCCATCAGATATTATTAACCTGAGGAGAAACACAAATCCTGCCATGACAGAAGTGGCTTGTGACATAAGCATGCTGTTGTCTCCAAGAGTCTAGCATGAACAAGTAGACTGAAGGGGACAGCCCAGTCTGCTGACTGGTGTTGCATGTACAGGAAGCCAGCTGAACAAAGGGTCGAATCTGTTTCAAATTAAGGGAGTAGAAATACAGTAAGATGATTGCACTGTGATTAAATAACTGAAAACAATTTATCAGCTCAATAAGTTGTCACACCATCTGTCACATAAATGAGACAGTAAAACAGATTTGGTCTATAGCACAGTCTGATGAAATACAAACCAGATCTGATTATTCAGTTTTTAAATTCATTGTTTTTATTACCTTCGTGGAATGAATTTCTTAGTTTTAGTAGTCATTCATCAAGAATTTAGTTCTCTCCTTGAGGTCCCTGTGTTTTTGCTCTTTCATTTTCTGAAATCGTATTTTAGGAGAGCACAGCTTTGAGGCTGTACCCAAGAATCTGTCATCTTTTCATTCATTTTAAGAATCAATGCAACTTGAAATTCCCTCTACTAATAATAGCTTCCATTTGTCAAGGACTTATTATGTGCCAAGCTACAGTTTTTATAGGTAGCCACATTTAATACTCACAGCAACCATAGGGGAAAGGTTTTATAATCCTCATTTTATGGATGGAAAAACTGTGGCTAAAAAAGTTAGATATTAGTAATGTACTCAGGGTCACACAAAACCTAAGTGAAAGATCTAGAAATTGAATGGGTCTGTCTGACTCCAAAGCTTGTGGTTTTCATCACTTACTCTTCATTTGGATCTGATTCAATTTTTAAAAAATTTCCTAAGTACCATTTGCCAGATACTATGGGGAATTCAGGGTAAGTATATAGCAGATTCAAGTGGAAGGAGCAATATATAAGGGATAGTACAGGCAAACAGGTATAATTACTGAAACTGAAGTTTTGTTCAATTCCCACTTCATTACCCCAAGCCAATAAATACAGCCATCTAAGCCCCATGGAGAAAACCTAGAAGTGTGCTACTGAGTTGAGAAAAGGAGCTATAGATATAAATAACACGTGCCTTAATGCAATAATTGGAAAACAGGTTTTCAACTCACCGCAGATAACTTTTATTCTGATACTTTATAGCCTGAAGATAAGAGGAAAATGGGCAACTCTTCATAATCTTGAGATACATACACATACATTGCCACTGTGTGAATTATATTGATATATTGCCTCTTAGCTCCAAATCCACTGTTTTTGCCCTGGTGTAGGATCCTGTAAGTGTTCCTCTTTGTGAGTCAGCCATTGTCAGTAGAATATGTGGGAGAATAGAGGACACTGCAAGAGAAGAGAGTTTCTCCTCCTTGTTCAGTTGCCGTATATCTTGCTCCAACAACTCACTGCAGCTCTCCTACCACTGGCTTGAGGAGACCCAGTGGTGCACCCGCTTCCAAAGACTTTTGCCAGAGCAACTGTGAAAGTTTTCCAGTGAGTCTTGCCAGCACCCCAGTGGGCAGCTTCTCAGCAAGTCCCCAGTGAGTGGCTTCCAGCTTTATAGTTACTGCCTGCAGCACTCAGTAAACTTCACCATCCATTGGGCACAGCCACACTCCTCAAAGAAGTCTGGATCTCAGCCTTGGTGAGAGAAGCTCTTCCAAGTTTGCTCCTTCCTTAGGTATTCTCTCAGCCCTAGAATTAGACATTGTTCTTTACATCTGTTATCCCTGAACTTCCATTACACTTAAAGCCAAAATGCAAAGTCTTCCATAAATCTTTTCAGATTCCTAATGTAATTGCGTCTGTTTTCTGAATTTCTATTAATAATTTATTTAAACTTCTCATACACTTCTTGGCACTTTCTCCCTTATGTTTTAACTATAATGAATATGAATTGTTTTGTACCACTCAGGGGGTGAATAAAATCACACTGTTTATTTATCATATTCTATCAGAACGAGGTTCTAGAAATATAAAACAGTTTAAGGTTAGCAGGAAGTCCAGGACCATATTCTTAAGGCCACCTGTTTACCATCTTAGATAATACAAAAAAATCAGCCCAGGAAATAGGTCCCCCAGCTTCCCTTGTCCAGAGCGAAAGGGCCAGTGCTTACCCTTTATGCAGAGTAAGAAAGCAGAGGTTTAGACTGCCAGCAAAATAGGGCATCAATAAGGTGAGGAAAGTTTACTTTACTATTATTTTTTATAGTTTTTTCATCTACAAATATAGAAAGTGTTTTTATTTTAGCATGCACACAAGTTTAGCATTTTATAGTTTAGTATTATTTTGACTTTGATTCACACGTGGATAAGTGAGTGAGAGTTTCTTAAACTTTTCAGTGCTCTGGGCCTCTGAACGTCTTGCCTTGGAAGAATCTTGACATTGCTGGGTTTGCCACCACCAACCCTTGCTTGCACACAGAACAACAACTGAGTTGCTGGGTCTTCCTTCCTCTGCCTATTGCTGCTTTCATCCTATGTCCCTGCAGAGGCCAGCCTGGTTTTTTGAAGGACAGTGGCTCTGAGTGTGATTTCATTCCTTCATAACCAGCTTGGTTATGGCTTGCCCTGGCTCAAGGCCTCAGTGCTAATGTCCAGTCCATCTGGGTACCACACCTGGAAAGCCACATTGGACCCTCTGGATCTCAGAGGGCTCAAACACCCACCCACATGGAACCTGCAGTCTTTATGTCCTCCATGTCCTGAGAGATCTATCCAGCATGAAGGGTTCATTTCACATGCTGGTGATTGATCTGAAAAGCTTAGGTGGTCAATTAGAAAAGACTGAAAGGGGGACCTAACCACTCTCAATGAGTCACTCTCCCATTCCTTCTAATAGTCACTCTTCCTGAGGATGAATACAGAATTTCTTGCACACACACACACACACTAATGCATTCACATACATAATAAGTTCCTGAATGGTCATCTACGTATTTTGTTATAAGCTTGTCTTATCTTTTCCACTCAAGTCAAAATCCTAAATGTAAGCTCAGGGCCTGATTTCTGTCCTTTGTGCCACACATAAAGTAATATGTGGTAAGTGGACAAAATACTTGTTGAATTAGAGAGCGAATGATGGCATTATTTTTAATTCCAAAAACTTCATTTGATTAGTATAATCACATAACTAACAGTTTCACTTTACCAATAATAAATCATTGAGAGTAACAGAATCAGGAGTCAAAAACTGCTTATTTAGAGACTAGTTATAATCAATGAGTATTTCAGGAAAAAAAAAAAAAAACATTTATTAGGCACCCACTTACTATGTGCCTGGAACTATGTTAGGTGCTAGGGTCACAAACATTAATCAGATAAGATGCCTGCTATTAAGAAGTTTATAGTTTATAAAGGACAACCAGCACATAGGTGAAAATTCATTTTTCAGTGTAACAAGGCCAATGAAGATGAGTATAAAATACTGGGGGTGCAGAGGACACACAGTTATATAGCACTCTGTGATTCCACCAACATAACACTCAATATACTCTAGTGGAATTACCAATTGAATAAATAATTGCCTTCTCTAAAAGATTATAAGCTCCAAGAGATCAGTGCCTCTATTATGTTCCCTGTAATCTCCCAAGTAACTAGCAGAGATCTTGGAGCATAATAGGTACTAAATAACCTCATAAGCAAATGAATGAATGAATGAATGATACTACTACTGTTACTGCTACTAGTAGCTGAAGGAGAAACTCAAGGAAACACAGAATTTTACTTTAGGAGACAGGACTCCAGTGTCAGATGTACCTGATTTTGAATCCTAGCTCCCCTATTTACTAACTGGGTGGACTAATTTTTTGCCTTTCGAGACCTGGGTTTTTATATCTTTGAGAAGGAAATAATACTGTTACCTAACTCTAGCTTTATGCAAGGTTTAAGATAATAAATATAGATGCTCAGTGCACTGCCTAAAGCTTAGTAGGCACTTATTAAGTACTTACCATTTTATAAATATTACTATTTCCTATAGTTTCTCTTTTGTCATTTATAGTAGAAGCAGACGAAAAAAGTGGCAATATGTCTTCTCAATGTAAATTTAATAATAGTGGTTTACATTTGTTGACAAAAGAATAAAAGGGCTCCCCAAACCTTCTTTTGAAATGTTAATTAGTCCTGACATATTAATAATTTTCACAATTTGAAATTCAAAGGCTTTTATATCCTTATCTGAAGTTTCTATATGAGAAGCTGATGATAAATCAAGTGTATTCTCTTAAAATAAGATTCAGTTAAATTGATTGAGGTATTTGTTTCAGAGACTATAATGGTTCTCATTTTATACTGAAAGCTTTAGAAAATATAAATAAACTTTGTCACAATAATGTTTCCTTCAGGGATTTATCCCAAGAATCAGTCACTAGATATAAGCAATGATTTCAATACAAGTTTGTTCATGTTAGTTATATTTAGAGTAAAATTGAAAATCCAAGTATCCGATAATGGTAATTGGTTAAGTAAATTATGACTCAATGGAATATTATGATACCATTAAATGTGATGGTATGCAGAATATTAGCAACATGAAGCAGTGCTTCCAATATGAGTAAGCAGATTTAAAACTGTAAATACATTAAACATAGATAAATATAAATGTCTGTGTATATAAATATTCATGTATTTATAATTATATGCATATGACAAAGTACATAATCAAAATATTAGCAAGGATATTTTACTTAATAAGAATAAAACCCTTCTTATTTTATCTTCTGGTGGACTTTTCATGATTAATTTATATATGCTGGATTATAAATAGCACTTTTAAAATATAACATAGCACTACATACTTTCAATTTTATGACTTAAGCATTAAAGGCTTTATTTAGGGGCTTTTAAGCAACTTTTTTTTTTCAAAAGCACCATTTTGAAGGGCTTAACTGGGTTAACAACACTCGGCACAAAATCTGATGACCAATACATTTGTACCTATTAGAATTACCACAGCTATATAATTTTGTAAAATAAAATTTTATTTTAAGTGCTTTAGAATTAAAATTTGCCTTAAAAGCTGGTTTGGTAATTCTGCATTTTTATAGAGCAACAAAACTTATTTTACCCTCTATCCTGCTTCTTTATATATTTCTTTTTTAAGAAAGTAAAAGATATGCTATTTTATTATAAGTCCATTGGATGTCAAATAGACATCTGTGTTAAGCAGAATAATCTTCCCTGCAAAACGTTCACATTCTAATTCCCAGAACTAGTGAATAGGTTGCCTTATATGGCAAACAAAAATTAAGATTGCAGATAGAATTAAGGTTGCTGATTAGCTGACTTTAATATAGGGAGATTCTCTCTTGATGGGCCCAGTATAATCACAAAGGTCCTTAAAAGTGGAAGAATAAGGTAGAAGAGTCGGAGTGATTCAATGTGAGAAGGACTCAATCCTTCCTGACTGGCTTTGAAGATGGAAGAGGGCTCCTGAGCTAGAGAAAGCAAGAAGCTTCTAAATACTGGGAAATGCCAGAAAACAGATTCTCCCTTACAGCCTCCAAAAGGAAGGCAGACTCTGAGACTACCTTGATTTTAGCCCAGTGAGACACATGCCAACATTTTAACCTATAAAACTACAAGAAAATTAGGTTGTGTTGCTTTAAGCTATTAAGTTCATGGTAATTTGTTATAACAGCAGTAATAACCAATACATTGCCTCAAAATTAACATGGGCAAAATCAAATTTTTAATCATTTTCCTTAAATTTGCTCCTTCTCTGGGCTTTCACACTCAAGAAACAGCCTGGCATCCTTACAGCTGCTGAAATCATACATTTTTGAGTCATCCTTGACTTCTTCCTTTTATAGCTAATTCTGCAAAGATTCTGGTCAGCTCTACCTTCTAATTATATACAGAACTGAAGTACTTCTCATCATTTCCACTGCTATCAAGTTAGTGATAGCCACTATTTCCTCAAAGGTTGCAATACCAATCCAATTCTGTCTTCTTGTTTTCAGCCTGGCTCCATCATAGATTCTTCCTCAATTAGGAGTCAGAAGAATGTCTTTGAGTATGTAATTCCATTTATGCCATTCTGCTGAAAGTCATCTTATGGCTTTTCATCTTAATGAAAGTAAATTAGTTTTTACTGTGGCCTACAAAATCCTACATAAGTTGGCCCCCAGAAACCTCTTAATTACATCCTTTACCACGTTTTCCTCTGTCATACTGTGCCAGCCATATAGTCCTCTTCACTGCTTCTAGAACACTACATGCACATTGCTGCTGACGTATTTTCCGTTGCTGGTGGAATACTCTCCCCAGATACCTATCCACATGGCTGGCTCCATCACTTCATTCTGATATTCCCTGACACACTGTCTAAAACAGTCTGTTCTCTCTCCCATTACTCTGTGTCTCCTTGTCCTATTTTATTTTTCTCTTGGCACTTACCACTACTCATTTATTTGTTTTCTGTGTCTTGTCTCATTTGAACATAATTGCTATGAGGACAGAGATGTGATCTATTTTGTGAGTGTTCACTACTATACTTCCCTTATCCAAATCAGTGTCTGAGTCATATGAAGTGTTCAGTAGATGTTTTTAAACAGAGGAATAGTGATGCTTAAATTTTCATCTTAAGCAGATGCTTTAAACTGTTCATCTGTTCAGAAGCCTTCAGTCAACTCTTTTGCAAAACTCAAAGCAAAATTTGCCACATTGGATGAATAACTTTTATCCATAATGGAAATCATAGAGATCCTAGAAAAAACTAAAAAATGTAAAAAGAAAAAAAAGTCAACCACGAAAAGAAGCTCAAGGTTCAAATTGTGTCAGAGCATGAACTCTCAGGCCATTTGGAGTCAAATTTTACCTAATTTTGCCATTTATAAGCTGTGTTATCTTGGCCAAGTTACTTATCTTCTCTGTGCCTCCATTTCTTACCTATAAAATAGAAATAATAATAATACCTACTACATAGTGTTGTTATAAGGATTAAATAAACTAGTATTCGATAATACTTTGAATAATGCCTGTCATACTAAGTATATATCATAGTTTTATAAATAAATGTCTTCCTTTTCCATTTATAGGTTTTCTTCAGAACATAAAAAACCTTTTTACTTGTTTTTTTAAAGTATAACATTGAAGTTAAACCTGGCAAACATAGATACTAAAGATCAAACCATAGAGTAATTGCATGTTTGAATACAGGTGTAAAGATCATATAAATAAATATTAACAAATTTTAGCAGTATATTTCAGGTATGTTACAAAATAATGAAGTGTGATTCAAACCTGAAATGTAAGGATGATTCAGAAGTATAAAATCTATTAACATGGGAGGGGAAAATATGATCTTAATTAATGGTGGAGGCATTTGACAAAATTAAATTTCCATCATTAGTAATGGAGAAAAATATTCAATAGTTCCTAATTATTTTTCTTTCAAAATTTTCTGACACACATATTAATTTTTATTCTAAAAAGCAGGTTAGGAATAGAGACAGTGCTAGTTCAAAAATTGATTTAATGTAATAAAAATATTTTAACAAATTTAACAAACAATATTTAACTAGCACTATTACAAAAGTCTAGAAATAAACTGTTTATCTTCATAGAAGAACCTAAATTTTCTAGATATCTTAAATTCAGAGACAAAATTCACTTTAAACATTAGTAAATATTATGATCGGTATGTAGAAATTAGGTTATAGTAAATTTTACTCAAATTATATTAAAACGTCTAGGATTAAAATGCCAAGCCCCAGGTGAGTTCACATGACTGGTCTAAGGTAGAATTGCCAAACTTTTTGTTCCCAGGACCCCTTTACCCTCTTGGAATTACTGAGGATTCCAACTATTTTTTGTTTATCTGGGTCATATCTATTAATATTTACTATGTTAGCAGTTAAAATAACTATTTTTAAAATAGTAAGAATAAACATCATTTTCTTTTAGAAGGAAATCTTTCCATATCACCCAGGCTGATCTTCAACGAACTGGACTCAAGTATTCCTCCCACCTCGGCCTCCAGGGTAGGTGGTCTACAGATGTGTGTGCTACTGTGCCTGACTAATTTTCTTTATGCTTATTTTTTAAAGAAGGGCTTTCACTATGTTGCTCACATTGGTCTCTAACTCCTGGCTTCAAGCGATCCTCCTGGCTCAGCCTCTCAAGTAGCTAGGATTATAGGCATGAGCCACCATGCCTGACAATAAACCCATTTTACATTAAAAATGACTTATTTTATGAAGAATGGGTCCCAGGGATCCCCAGAGGTCCCCTGGCCACGCTCTGAAAATTACTGGTTCAGAATTACTCATCCTTCTATCCAATGAATGAGGGGCTAGTCTAAAACACAGTCAGTGCTAGGCAATCCCCCAGCCATAGGGCTTGGATCATGAATAGCGAAATTACTCAATTCAGGCCAGTGAATCTTAAAGAAAACATGGGGCTTCTGAGAAATTAGTTTCTCTCTTAAGGTAAAACCTGTGGAAGAGGCCATCTCTCTTTTCCCTTGGGTGTTGTGACATGTGAAAGACAGCCACAGATTTTCGTTTGCCTAGGACAGTTCCAGTTTATGCCCACTGTCCTACAGTAAGTATTAATTACATTACCTTTCACTCTCCAGAATTTTCCAGGTAAGTGATAAATTAGACAGTTGCCTTAGAAATATAGATATAAAACAAAGGATTGCATTGGATATTTTTCCAGTATGAAAAAAGAAGAAAAAAAGCAATGCTAAGGAAACAGCCAAGGGAGAACACAGCCAGGGAGGCACTTAGCCTGAAATCATTCTCTAGCTGGATTACTGCAGTAGATTTCTATTCCAATTTATTTCCTTACTTTTGAAATCAGTTTGAATTTGGATCTCTAGTATCTGCAGCTAAAGGCAACCTAACTGATATACTCCGTCACCTCAAGTGATACGTGATAAGAGCTTGATGTGTATTCTTCCACATTTCTCCTTGGTCATACAACAAGTACATTCTCTTACATACATATTTCACACAATAGGTTTTTGGGTTTTTGGTTGAAGTTTGTTTTTATGAGAGTGAAGTTATTACACATGTATTTAATAACATATATCTCACTGCTTTTTAATAGTTCCATAATATTTTATCATATAAATATATCATCACTTTTCTCCTGTTCTTGGGCATACAGGTTGTTTTCAGGGTTTGTCGTTATCAATAGTGTAGAAATGATTATTTTTATAGCTCATATCCTTTATCTGTTGCTTTTATTATGATAGGATAGATTGTTAAATCTGGGACTGCTTGATCAAAGGGTATGTGAGGATTATTGTTCTTAAAAGTAATTAGGAAACACTGTAGCTGGAAAAGCACTCATATAAATAAAAACCTCAAGACATACTTAGAAGAAGCAATGATCTGAATTTGTGTACTTCTTCCTCCTCATGGTAAAGTTAGGGAAAGAGAGAGGTTTGGAATTTAATTGATCTATTTTGGTCATTACCTAACTACTCAATTTGCCCAAATGTTTCTGGAACAGAAAGTGGATGAGAATTAAATGAAGATACAGTCTTTCCATTGGGGAAATCTTTCCCCACCTTGTCATGATGAAAATACAGATTTTACACATTACACACAATCAGTAGCTATATAAAATATGAAGTAATCAATCAGATACATATATTTTATTTAAATGACAATAGATATTTTTATCAGTAACTTGAAAAGTGATTTCACAAATTAAGATAGGATGTAGAAGATTAAACTCTTGAAAACCATTTTTCTTTATTACCTTATGGGGCATGTAAGAAGACATAAGCCTAATAGTGTCTCATTTAGGGAATGAAATGAATAATTTATTTTAAGGCTCTGGTGTTAAAGATTTATATAACTATTCATAAATGAGTAAAAGGAGGTTATGAATCAATCATCAGATTATTTTTCTATTATTACCCATGTAAAAAATTACTGTGTCCTCGTTTTATACCAATGTTCAATTTATAAAGACAGTTTTAAGTTTTTGTCTAGCTTTCTCTTTTTTGCAACTTGAATATGGAATAAAGGATGGAGAAGGCAGACAGAAGAAGGTGAAGATGGAAGTTGTGATTAAAATAAATAATTAATCAATTTCTTTTAATATTTGTCTTCTAACCAGAGGATATAAGCATTTCATCCAGTCAGAAAATTCATTTATTGCACATAGAATTCGAGGACTACTCTGAGTTTCATACCTATAAATTTTGGAGCTATCAAATTATAATTCAATTCATTAAAGCAGACCCAAGACTTTGGAAAAGAACATTATATTAAAATGTTCCCTTGGGCATTTCAATTAATGTGTTTATGTGAATATAAAATACATACACTTGGTATAATATGAAAAATGTAGTCTAAAGTTTCTCTCCTACCCGTCTCTTTTTCCCAAGACTTTTACTAGATACTTTTCCAGAGATGGACGACAGTATATGTGTATTACTGCTTTTATTACAAATGATAGTCTCCTATGCTACTGAAAGCATCATGCTTTTTCTTAATTTCATATAATTTTTCTTAATTTCATATAATTACAATTCAGTACATATAGAGTATATCATTCTTTTTGACCAGCTTCATGTACTCGACTAGTCATTTTTTATTAGACATCTATATTGTTTTTCTTTTGCTATTATAAATAAGCTGCAATGAATACCTTTGTACATGTCCTTTGTATATGTAGGAAGATGCTAGAAGTCAAATGGTTTATAAATTTTACATTTTGATAGTATTGCAAAATTGCCTTGTATAGAGGTTGAACCCATTTCACTAATTGTGTATGAGTTGTCTGCATCCCTAGACTCTCAGGCACAAAATGTTTTGAACTTTGAAATTTGCAAATCTCATAAATCAAAAATGGTATATTACTTTTGGCATTGACTGATTGTAGGTGAGGTTGAGATTCATCTCATGTTTAAGGCTTTTTTGTTGTTGTTGTTCCTGCTGTTTCTAACCTTTGCTCATTTTATTTTCTATTGATATTTTTTATATTTTCTATTGGGTATTTGTTACTAAATTCGTTGTAAATGTGTTGCTGGTCTTTATGCATTAAAGACACTAGCCCTCTGTGTGTAGTACTTATGGTAAATACATGTTGTTTGTTATTTATTTTTATTATTATTTTTCTTATAGATAATTTTAAATTTTAATATAGATAATTTCAATATTACAATAAATAAAAATTATCTACGTTTTGTGGTCAGGATTTGGTATAATTCTTAGATTGGTTAATTCTTAGATTTTTCTTTACACATTTATTAAGTCCTAGTTTTATTTTTCTTATTTAAATCTCTGATCCATCTGAAATATATTTTGGTATAATAAGTGATTACAAATTTAACCATTTGCCTCAACCCACTTATTGACTAACCATCTTTATTTCACAGAGAGACAATGTCACCTTTTTTGTGTAGTAAATTATATATATATAAATACATATACTTAAAAAACATAAATTATGTTTTAATTATCAGCAAAGGTAGCTTCCCCTATATTTCTTCATTTTTCAGAATTTGTCTGGCCATATTTGAGTTCAGGATTATTCTTCCAAGAAGCAAACTTATCAGTGTACTATGCAAAAAGATACTGATGGGACCAGTAGTGGGATTTAGGAAATATCTAATATAATTCTATTTAACTTTACTTTTTAACATCAAACAAGAAACATTGATTTTCGTTAAAAGGAGAAGACATGTCACTGGGGGGGCAGATATGGCATCAACTTCAATGTTTTCCCCAGAAAACACTTCCAACAACGTCATTCCCTTGGGTTTTTCCTCAGAACATTCCTGTGTTGAGGTATTCAGTTGTTGTTATTTGGGAAATGGAGCATATTATCTGAATTCCTTCAACAAAAGAAAATTGTGGGTATGTGTTCTTTTTTTCTCTTTTGCCATGTTTTCTGATCTAGTTTCCACTAATTAAGCAGTAATTTAGTCTCTTACACTTTGAAGTTTCACTCATTACCTGGCTTCTGTAAGTCAACCAAAGGCAACATCTAAAGCTCTTAGTATTGGACCATCACTTTGGGGACTGCTAATTGAATGTAATTACTTTATTTTGGGCCAGGGCTCATACTTGCAACATTGCCTTGTAATAATTTAAATTGTCTGCATACTGCAGGGGGACTGTTTGACGCCAGAGTGGAGACGGTCAGGCAGCCACTCGGGCCTTGGAAGCAAAGTCAAAAGTAAGGAGACATTGTCATTTGGCTACCTACTCATTAGCTGCCCTCTACGGCTGTCTGTTGTTATGAGTGAACAGGATGTGTCGTGACTGAATCTTGCCCCTAAAAATAGCTGTGAAAACATGCATTTGGGATGTACAGTAATTGGTTGCTTAGTTGATTGCAGATATTTTTAAAGACTTTGGGAAAAGGCAAGATATTTTTAAACTATGACCTTGCCATGCAATACCACATTACTTTTCTCTCTCTCTCCTCCCTCTCTCAATCTCTGTTTGTGTGCATATATAATGTATATATGTATGTGTATATATACATGTATATACACACACACACACACACAGAGAGAGAAGAGTTGTAATGGCAAAAACTGAAAATGATGAGACTGAAATTTAGAGATGTCTTTTTAAATCCTGCTTGAGGTATTTGAAGCATGGTGTGTAGCTAAATAATAAAATCAAGTCCTCTTGTCATTTCCCTGGTCTGATATTTTGGCAACCACTTTGCTTCCAGGAGGATTCATCACTCAAACTTTTTTTTTTTTTTTTTACAGCATGGTAGAAGAGAGTTTATTGTAGAAGGAGGAAATTACAAGCCTGAAACCCTTAACAGGCTCAGGAAAAGCTCTCTGACCCACACACTAGGTGCAATCCAACCTGAATTTTTGCCTCTACTTGGGTGATTAATCATATGGTGAATCTGGCCTCACTGGCTCTAATAATAGGGCTTGCCTTTGGCTCTTTGTGGACCAGGGAAATAAGAGCATCTTTCCCGAGTGTCAGAATACTCCCCTTTTGTTAATGGTGCCAGCAGGTCTACCCCACTGGCAGTTAAAGCTAATATGAGCCTTTCATTCTCAAATTGCACACAAGAATTTTTTTTTAAGTACTACAGTTTTGAAAGAAAGAGTAACATATACGGCAACAGGAAAAAAATTACTAAAAAAGATTTTAAATTGGATAAAATTAAGTGCAAGTCTTTGATTTACCTGAATCTGTTTTAATTATTTCTTCATGATGCTTGGAAGAATACAATGACCACCAAAGCAATAGATGCCTATTCTTTTCTGATATTCTTTCCTGATACGATATGTGCTTACTGTATGCTTTTAAAAAAAGTAATTCAAATATCATAATACTTTTCACAACACCATTCAGTTGTTTTCAGTATATTCACAAAACTGTATAGCCATTACCACTCTCTAATTCCAAGCCATTTTCATCTCCTCGATGTCACACTCCATACCCATTAGCAGTCACTCCCCATTCAATCCTCATCAACCTGTGGTAATATTTTCTCCACTTTCTGTCTCAGAATTTGCCTATTCTAAACATTTTGTATAAATGGACTCCAGTGATATGAGGCCTTTTGTGACTGATGTCTTTCACTTGGCATAAGGTTTTCAAGGTTTATTCATGTTGTAACTTGTATCAGTACTTCATTCTTTTTAAAGTTTCAGTAGTATTTCATTGTTTGGATACACTGCATTTTGTGTATCCACTCTTCACTGGTAGACGGTTGTTTTCACTTTTTAGCTATTATGAATAATGCTGCTATGAACATTTATGTATAAGTTTTTGGTGGACATATATTTTCAGTTCTCTTTTGTATATGCCTAGGGGTAGAATTGCTGGGTCATATGGTGACTCTATATTTAACTTTTTGAGGAAAGTGTTCGCACCATTTTACATTCTCATCAGTAATTTATGAGGGCTTCAAATTCTCTGCATCTTCAACAACATTTTTAATGTCTATCTTTTATATTGTAACCAACCCACTAGTTATGAATAATTATCTCAAGGTTTTTTTTATACTTTAAGTTCTGGGGTACATGTGCAAAACGTGCAGTTTTGTTACTTAGGTATATACATGCCATGGTGGTTTGTTGCACCCATCAACCCGTCATCTACATTAGGTACTTCTCCTAATGCTATCCGTCCCCTAGCTCCCCAACCCCCAGCAGGTCCCAGTGTGTGATGTTCCCCTCCCTGTGTCCATGTGTTCTCAATGTTAAACTTCTACTTATGAGTGAGAACATGTGGTGTTTGGTTTTTATCTGCATTTCCCTAATGACTAATGATGTTGAGCATATTTTTGTGTATTCGTTGGTCATTTACACATCTTCTTTGGAAAAAATGCCTACTGAAGTCCTTTCCCTATTTAAAGTTAGGTTATTGTCTTTTCGTTATTAAGTTGTAACAGTTCTTTGTGTATTCTGAATGGCAGACTATTATCAGATAAATGACTTGCAAATATCCTCTCCCATTCTTTGGGTTGTCTTTTTCCTTTTTTGTTAGTGTTATTGTCCAGTTTATCTATTTTTTTTTTCTTTTGTATCCTGTGCTTTTGCTATGGCATTTAGGAAACCACTGCATAATCCTAGGTATCAAAATTTACCCGTATGTTTTCTTCTAAGAGTTTTGTAGTTTTAACTCTTAGATTTCAGTCTTTATTCCATTTTGAGTTAATTTTTTATGATGTGAGGTAAGAGTCCTACTTAATTCTTTTGCATAAGAATATCTAGTTGTCGGCGACAGAGCGAGACTCCGTCTCAAAAAAAAAAAAAAAAAAAAAAAAAAGAATATCTAGTTGTCCTACAGCTATCTGTTGAAAAGACTATTCTTTCTTTTATATACGTATATTTTTTATTATACTTTAAGTTCTATGGTACATGTGCACAATGTGCAGGTTTGTTACATATGTATACATGTGCCATGTTGGTGTGCTGCACCCATTAACTCATCATTTACATTAGGTATATCTCCTAATGCTATCCCTCCCGCCTCCCCCCACCACACAACAGGCCCCAGAGTGTGATGTTACCCTTCCTGTGTCCAAGTGTTCTCATTGTTCAATTCCCACCTATGAGTGAGAACATGCAGTGTTTGTTTTTTTTTGTCCTTGCGATAGTTTGCTGAAAATGATGGTTTCAGGCTTCATCCATGTCCCTACAAAGGACATGAACTCATCATTTTTTATGGCTGCATAGTATTCCATGGTGTATATGTGCCACATTTTCTTAATCCAGTCTATCATTGTTGGACATTTGGGTTGGTTCCAAGTCTTTGCTATTGTGAGTAGTGCCACAATAAACATACATGTGCATGTGTCTTTATAGCAGCATGATTTATATTCCTTTGGCTATATACCCAGTAATGGGACGGCTGGGTCAAATGGTATTTCTAGTTCTAGATCCCTGAGCAATCACCACACTGTCTTCCACAATGGTTGAACTAGTTTACAGTCCTACCAACAGTGTAAAAGTGTTCCTATTTTTCCACATCCTCTCCAGCACCTGTTGTTTCCTGACTTTTTAATGACCGCCATTCTAACTGGTGTGACATGATATCTCGTTTTCATTTTGACTTGCATTTCTCTGATGACCAGTGATGATGAGCATTTTTTCTTGTGTCTGTTGGCTGCATAAATGTCTTCTTTTGAGAAGTGTCTGTTCATATCCTTCACCCACTTTTTGATGGGGTTGTTTTTTTCTTGTAAATTTGTTTGAGTTCTTTGTAGATTCTGGATATTAGCCCTTTGTCAGATGAGTAGATTGCAAAAATTTTCTCCCATTCTGTAGGTTGCCTGTTCAGTCTGATGGTAGTTTCTTTTGCTGTACAGAAGCTCTTCAGTTTAATTAGATCCCATTTGTCAATTTTGGCTTTTGTTGCCATTGCTTTTGGTGTTTTAGACATGAAGTCCTTGCCCATGCCTATGTCCTGAATGGTATTGCCTTTGACAAAATTCAACAGCCCTTCATGCTAAAAACTCTCAATAAATTAGGTATTGATGGGATGTATCTCAAATTAATAAGAGCTATTTATGACAGACCCACAGCCAATATCATAGTGAATGGGCAAAAACTGGAAGCATTCCCTTTGAAAACTGGCACAAGACAGGGATGCCCTCTCTCACCACTCCTATTCAACATAGTGTTGGAAGTTCTGGCCAGGGCAATCAGGCAGGAGAAAGAAATAAAGGGTATTCAATTAGGAAAAGAGGAAGTCAAATTGTCCCTGTTTTGCAGATGACATGATTGTATATTTAGAAAACCCCATTGTCTCAGCCCAAAATCTCCTTAAGCTGATAAGCAACTTCAGCAAAGTCTCAGGATACAAAATCAATGTGCAAAAATCACAAGCATTCTTATACACCAATAACAGACAAACAGAGAGCCAAATCATGAGTGAACTCACATTCACAACTGCTTCAAAGAGAATAAAATACCTAGGAATCCAACTTACAAGGGACGTGAAGGATCTCTTCAAGGAGAACTACAAACCACTGCTCAATGAAATAAAAGAGGATACAAAGAAATGGAAGAACATTCCATGCTCTTGGATAGGAAGAATCAGTATCGTGAAAATGGCCATACTGCCCAAGGTAATTTATAGATTCAATGCCATCCCCATCAAGCTACCAATGACTTTCTTCACAGAATTGGAAAAAACTACTTTAAAGTTCATATGGAACCAAAAAAGAGCCCACATTGCCAAGTTAATCCTAAGCCAAAAGAACAAAGCTGGAGGCATCATGCTACCTGACTTCAAACTATACTACGAGGCCGAGGTTACAGTAACCAAAACAGCATGGTACTGGTACCAAAACAGAGATATAGACCAATGGAACAGAACAGAGCCCTCAGAAATAATACCACACATCTACCACTATCTGATCTTTGACAAACCTGACAAAAACAAGAAATGGGGAAAGGATTCCCTATTTAACAAATGGTGCTGGGAAAACTGGCTAGCCATACGTAGAAAGCTGAAACTGGATCCCTTCCTTACACCTTATACAAAAATTAATTCAAGATGGATTAAAGACTTAAATGTTAGTCCTAAAACCATAAAATCCCTAGAAGAAAAGACTATTCTTTTCCCATTTAATGGTCTTGGCACCCGGCTGAAAATTAACTTATCATGTATGGATTTATCTCTGGGCTTTCAATTACATTCCATTGGATTATATGTTTATCCTTTTGCCAGTATCATATGGTCTTGAATTCTATAATTTTGTAGTAACTTTTATAATGAGGGAGTATGACTCTTCCAACTGTGTCTGTCTTTCAAGATTGTCTTGGATGTGTGTTTAATTCTAACACAATTGTAATAAAATTACAATACAAATTTTGACCTGGAAAATCTGAAAGCATAATTTGATTTTCAAAAAGTATTTTTAAAGATCATCTCATAAAATTAATAATTTCAAATTATCTGAGTGTTTCAGTCTACTAACCACTCTTCAGTAATAAAGGAACCTTTTAGTAAATGCCCTAACTCATCCAAAAGCCAATTTCTCTTCAGCAAATTAATGTTTTAGAATGCTAAATTATTGTGGGAGTAAAGAATTCAATCGAATATTTTGAATTATATGCTTAGTGGATAATTTGTGTCAAAATACCTATGTTTAAGTTCTATTATTCATTGCTGATGAACTAGAGCAAGGAAGTTTGTCTAATCTTGATTTTTCCTAATTTAAATTCATTATAAGTTTATGTTCCAGGCAGCTAGAAGGGAGGAAACAGGAAGTGAAGAGCACATGCTTCCCTCCACAGGCTCAATCAGAATACTGCACACACCACTCCCACTCAACATATCATTACCCAGAACTTAGTTACATGACCATTGCCAGCTGTTAAGAGAGACTGAGAAATAGCCTTAATTCTGGACAACCATGCTTTCAGCTAAATGCAGAGGTACATGACCATTGCCAGCTGTTAAGAGAGACTGAGAAATAGCCTTAATTCTGGACAACCATGCTTTCAGCTAAATGCAGAGAAACTATCTGCTACAGATAACCCAGCCATTCCTCTGCCAAACTCCTCGGTTAAGTTCCATTCACATTTTATTGGCATGGCCAGTTTGTATCTTTCATCCAGAAAAGTTTTAGCATGTGTGATGACATACTTATTGTGATTACAATTTTCTTAGGCATTTTTTTCATTTCTTATTTTTAGGTTTGAGTTTTATCAAAGCACTGCAGATACTTGATAACAAGTCAAATACTACAGAAAAGTTAGTGAAAAGCAACAGTTATGCCCTTTGCCCATAGCATGCATTCTATAATTTTTATGATGCTTTCATAACTATATGTATTTGAACTTCTATTTACTGTTTTATCTAATTTAGACAATACCTATTAGTTCTCCAACACGGAAAATAAGGATTTCACTCACCTACTGTATCCCATTCCCCATCTATTTACACATATCAGAATTTACAAATTATTTGTTAGTTCTTATACTGGTTACCTTTATAAGCTTTAATATACATACTTATAGCTCTGATTGTTACGCTATCAATTTTTCACAGTACTTTTTCATTCCTACTTTGTAAAATGGGGCCCCAGTATTTCTCTACCTTTTCTCTATTTCCCATTTTTCTGTCAACTACATTTTTAGTTGTACATTATCAAAATTGTGAATAATTTCATTCTGTCTGACAACTACGTAAAGTCTTGATACATATTCTTATCAGTAGGCTGTAAAAGTTGGAGATCAATTGCAGGATTTATATTATTATGACTATGAAAATAAGATGATATGGTTAGGTCAAGTGATATGCTAGAATTATATTTTCATGTTTAGAGTTTTATTGCCTCAACTCTTGGGCAAATCAATGGAGACTGTTCCTAGCATGAGTGTCAAATGAACTTTTCCCTTTCTATGCCTCATCAGTTGCTCAAAATTATGCTTCATTTGAGTTCCTTTCTTGTTTGAAAGAACTAGTTATTGCTCTTAAAGTTTCTAATGTCCTTCATTTAGTTTCTTGAAGTTTTCCTTTATCATTCACTACTTATTATTCTCCAATTCTCTATCCTATTATTGATGCTATAAATCCTTTCGCACACCTTTTTTTTTTTTTTCTTATAGATCTCTCCCAAATCCTCTCTCCCTGCTCCTGTTGATTGGGTGCCCTCACCTTGCTGCACAGCGGTTATGATGGACTGTCCCATGACTGCTTTCCTGGTTTGAAAACTTGGACTCTTGAATCAAATGAATTCCACTTCATATGCTTTTATTTTGCAGAAACATTTCAAGTTAACTTCTCAAGGAAAATCCTTCTGAAATGTAAAATTACTGAATTCCTCCTTGTAAGTAAAAAAGTTCTCATTCTGTACTCACACTTGAATGCTGGATGAAGGGTCTAGGTTACATTACTTTATTTCAGAACCTAAAATGCTTTCTTCCTTATGTCTTCCAAAATACCATATTAATCAAAGAATGTGATTTCATTTGCTATTTTTTTGCACACAGCTTGGTTTTTCCTTTCTGAACTCATTTATGATTTTATTTTTATCCTAGGTATTCTGAATAGCAGTCTTTGAGTTAAGCACTTTTGAGATCCCCAGAGCAGTTTCAATGTCACTTTAGGTAGCCTGTGTGCCTCGGGTGCCAATCTTTTTTTTTTTTTTTTTTTTTTTTGAGACGGAGTCTTGCTCTGTTGCCCAGGCTGGAGTGCAGTGGCGCGATCTCCGCTCACTGTAAGCTCCGCCTCCCGGGTTCATGCCATTCTCCTGCCTCAGCCTCCCGAGTAGCTGGGACTACAGGCGCCAGCCACCACGCCCGGCTAATTTTTTGTATTTTAGTAGAGACAGGGTTTCACCGTGTTAGCCAGGACGGTCTCGATCTTCTACCTCGTGATCCGCCCGCCTAGGCCTCCCAAAGTGCTGGGATTACAGGCGTAAGCCACCGCGCCCGGCCCGGGTGCCAATCTTAATGTATCAAATCACCAACTTTTGAAGACCCAGGATAGGATAATCACAACTAATAAAGTCAAATGCCCTAATATTTTATTTTATTAAGATAAACTATAAATTTATTTTATTGGTGATGAATTTTTCTTCCAAAAGGATTAAAGATCTAAATTTTAAAATAATAATAAAATGTGCTGGCACTTAAAAAACACATGGGTATACACATAGCTTATTCTGGAAATGAAAGACTTTATAGGCAATGATTAAAAGGAAGAAACAATAGAGAAAAAGATTGTAAGTTTAATTACATAAATTTGAGAAGCTTCTAAACTAAAAAAAAATTAAAATATAATAAGGCAACTGAAAAACTGAGAAAATTATTGCAAGATCGCCATAGACAGAGGTTTTATATTCTTACTATGAAAATGAACTCTTAGAAATTGAAAAGAACATGAAGGTAAAATTATTTTTTAAAACATGAAAAACTATCCCAAAAGATAAAAAATTCAAATATCCAAATAGGTGACTCATAAAAGAGAAACTATAAAAAACAAATGGAAAATAAATTATGAAAATATATTCATTTTACATAAAATGCAAAGAGCAAGAAATTTGCCTTTTTTACATATCAAATTGCTGAACCAAAAATATTTTTAAATTTTAAAATAAGATGTTAATTGATTTTAAATTAAGATGTTATTTAGTGATGACATGCTGTGAGGAACCAGGTACAAGCTCTTGTACCCAGCTTGTGACACTTAAAAGTTGTAAAATGTGCTGGGTGCGGCGGATCATGCCTGTAATCTCAGCACTTTGGGAGGCCGAGGCGGGCGGATCACGAGGTCAGGAAATTGAGACCATCCTGGCTAACACGGTGAAACCCCGTCTCTACTGAAAAATACAAAAAATTAGCCGGGCGTGGTGGCGAGTGCCTGTAGTCCCAGCTATTCAGGAGGCTGAGGCAGGAAAATGGCGTGAACCCGGGAGGCGGAGCTTTCGGTGAACCGAGATCCCGCCACTGCACTCCAGCCTGGGTGACAGAGCGAGACTCCATCTCAAAAAAAAAAAAAAAAAAAAAAAAAAAAGTTATAAAAAATGTATAGCATTCAGTTGACCAATATATATACTAAAGACCATAAAAGGTTCATTTTCTTTGACTTAGTAATACCATTTCTAGAAATCTAAGCTAGGAAAAAATTAAATCAGGTGAGTATGTAAACATGCATGTGTGAGAATATCCAACACTTAGCTGTTTATAATAAAATTAGAAATAACCTAAATGCCCAAAAGTAGGGCTTATGTCTGTGTCATATTCAGATAAGTGTATTAAAAACGATGCCATGTCTACATATTTACTGATATAAGAAGACACTGAGATATTGCCCAATGGAAACTGCATCTTCAAAACAGCATATATATTACAATTCCATTTTCAAAACTGATGGACATAATTGAAAAATTATTCCTGATTTGATCCAGAAGCTCAAATACCATCATATAAAATTATTTAAAAGTCCAGAAAAACAGATGCAATTAACATTAAGAGTGGTGTTCTCTGGACTGTGATTTTGGTTTTCTTTATAATTTTCTGTATTTTCTAAAATGTCTAAAACAACGAAGTATTAAAAGTGAGAAGAAAATGAGTTAACTGAATCTTCTATTGAAAGATTTTATTTTGGTGCCTCTTGACAATCAGAGAGCTTCAGCATGTAAATTTTCTAGTGATGTGGTATGGAATAAACTTCCATTTACCATGATAATTTCAACTTTTCTTACCTCACTTTTCATACAGGACTTTGCATTAATCTCACCACAGTAAATTTGTTTTTCCCACATTTTTTTTTTCTTTCTGTGGTCTCATGTTTTCTAATTATTTAAAGAGAAGCACTCATTCTTTACTTGGACAAAATATTATTAATATCCCCACCATTTGGGATGATATTTTTATAGGGTATTATAATAGGTTTTTATGTATGAATTTGACTATTAAATTGAAATAATTTACACTAAATACAGATAGAAAGAATAACTTATTTAATCAGACCAGATGATATGATTAAAGCCATTGTTCCTGTAGACAGACAGTAGGTTATGTACTTATCCAGATAATTTGATTACTGTAAACAGTCAACTTTGCCTGAATTATCTGGATAATTGCCTCACTTCTCCATTTTACATAGCCTAAGGTTCTAGGTTTATTTTTGCTTCCCACGGACCACTTTCTGCAGTGATCAGCAATCAGAGAAAATCAGATTATCACTCTGTTTAACCTTCCTGTGCCTTGGGTAATTAAGTCAACAAATTAGCTAAAGGCTCCAATGCGGAAGGGGATTGGTAGACTGTGGTTAAGACACATATTTACGAATTTTCCCTTAAGCTGCTTTTTTTTTTTTTTTAAGGAAGCTTTGATAAGAAGCATATGATCTCAATTATCATTAACTCTTTGTGGTTTCGTGTTTGGGAGCTTGAACTAGACTTTAGAAGGCCTAGGACCCCCTTCCATGTGTGCCTGAGCAGTATATTGGCAGACCATTCACATTTTCCATCTCATTATCTCACATCGAGAAAGCAGACTTAAATCACTCTTCACACACTCATTACAGACTGAGGGACTATACTTACTTGAGCAGGCTGCTTTGGGATTTTCTTTAGTGACTTTTGGTTATATGCTTTTGTAATCAACTGAGCGTCTTTCTTTAAGGCTATTTTTCAATACGAAATTCTTTAAAATGAAATCTCTTAAAATCTGAGGGAAAGGTATAGACATAAAAACAATTCCTATCATATACAGATAAATAAGAACTTAATAAAAATTTATTGCTATTGTTTCAAAATCTAACCTTTATTTTTTAATGTTGTTTTGTTATTTGTTTTTCAGTATTTTAAATTTAGTTTTTCTGTAGAAAAGTTTTGAAGGATACCAGAATGTGTAATAGCTGATGTGTCATAATATCATTATTGATTATACATATTGATAAGCTACTCCAAATATTAACCTTTGATTCAGAACCAGGAATGGGCTTAGCGTGAGGACTCGCAGGACTTGGCCAGTTGGAATGCACAGGCTGATGAGCCCAGCTATGTCTGAGTGCACAATTTCAAAGGAGCATGTCTGTCTCACTAATCCTGTGTAAATGTGTAAATCATTCAAGGTCTAATCAAATAAAGTGTTCTGTCTGATGGAACCCTTCAAACATAGGGCATATAACTTCAAGAAAAGTGGAGTTTTGTTCTGCAAATCATCATATAAAACATTATATTTGTGATGAGGCAGATTTTCTGGTTATCTATGTATATATTATACTGCCATAGAAGTAAGAAAAATATTTCAAATACTATCACTTTGGTATATCACTCCCAAATCTAATAGAAAAGTGGCATCCGCTAAAAATAAGGACTTGGAGAATATATAATTGTACTTTTCCACTCATTGCTTTGATGAGAGAACAATTCTATAGTGCCTACCAATACTGAAATTAATGTAACAGCCAAAGCCACAGAAACACTTGGATAAATAGTGGGTGTTTATGGCAGTGGGATTTTGACATTGTGGCAACACTCTTTATTACAATTTTATTTTGAAGAATTGTTACTGTTGCTCACTTTTAAAATAATATTTGAGTTTGATAACCATGCATTAATCAGAAATCAGCCTATTGCATTTTACTGTACAAAGGAACCATTACTGAATCTAAAAACAGTTGATGATAGTGACATTATCACTATTATTAATTTATAATAGTGGCTATTTTCCTGTTATTAAAACCATGTGAAAATTTCAATTAAAATTAACTTTTTAAAGCTGAGTAACCCCAGGAAAGAGACAATGCCCATCTTTTCCAGGGGCAGGGAACAAGTTTCTGTCTTAGCTGCATGTAATCCTCCATAAAGATGTAGAAATTGAAGAGTACCTTATTATACCACAGATAATTTATCAATTTCATTCTGCAACTGAACAACTTCCCTATTCCTGGTTTGCATGGAAGACAGGCTAGATTAACTCACTGAGATAAATATTCCCCAAGATTTTTATGAATTACAAAAGGTTTTTTTTTTTTTTTTGCTATTTCAAGAGGAGCATTTTATTGCCTTGGTAGCTGAAAACAAATCTTCATGTATTATTCCAAATGACTTGCCCAGTTTGCCTCCTAAGATATGGATCGAAAAAATAAATATTATATTTTAGATAATGAAAGTAATGGGTACCCAATGTGAAACTTGAAAAATGGGTAAAAAAATAAAAAATAAATAATGGTCATTAAGTAGGAATATTTTTATACATTTTTAGAGTTTTCTGTGAATAAGTATTTTCCACAATTGAGAACACATTGCATATTATCATTTCAAGTCACATTTCTTCCTGACTTAGTATTATAGCATGTGTATATCATTTAGAATTTATTATATTTCAAGGGTCAGTAAACCCAATTCAAACTGGCTGAAAAAAATCCAGGATATTATTGGCCATAGAACTGAAAAATCCAGCAGGAGAAGTAGATTCAAGCACACACCAAAAGTTCGTCTGGGCTCTGGTTTTATTTACTTTCACTTCTCTCAGATTTACTTTCTTTACTTGGCTTTTCCTCATATTAGCTTCCCTTATGGTATGGAACTCAAACCACTAGAATCAGTTCCAGACTTTACACCCTCTTACCACTGTATTCAAAGAGAGATATTGTTTTCCAAAGCTCTTATAAAAGAAAATATTTTTTCCAATATTTCTAGAAAAATATCAATGGTACACTCTAATGAGAGATGTTTAGATCTGGTGCACGCCCCTAAAACAATCTTTAAGACAAGGGAACATTTTTTTCTGATAGGCTTAGACTTGGGATACATGTTCCAACCCATCTGGTCCACACAGACCAAGTACTATTTAATGCACTTATAACTACCACCTTAAAAGTATCTATGCACTTATAACTACCACATTAAAAGTATCTTCACAAATATCATTGTAATGTCGGTGTACTATCTCATTTTACTGTTATATCAACATTTTATTTAACATGCTTCTCTTATTAGATATTTAGGCTGTGTCCAACATTTCTTTTTTTTTTGTTGTTGTTGTTGTTGAGACGAAGTCTCACTCTGTCACCCAGGCTGGAGTGCAGTGGCGGGCTCTCGGCTCACTGAAAGCTCTGCCTTCTGGGTTCACACCATTCTCCTGCCTCAGCCTCCTGAGTAGCTGGGACTACAGGTGCCCGCCACCACACCCAGCTAATTTTTTGCATTTTCAGTAGAGATGGGGGTTTCACCATGTTAGCCAGGATGGTCTCGATCTCCTGACCTCGTGATCTACCCACCTCGGCCTCCCAAAGTGCTGGGATTATAGGTGTGAGCCACCGCACCTGGCCAACATTTCTGTAATGTAAATCATTTTGCAAATATCCTCTTTTATAAATATTTGGCTGCCTCGGGTTTTAATCTTTTAAAGATTACTACAAGTATAGTAGTTAGACCAAAGAAAAAGATATTTTTCTTTCTTATGTTGCTTTTTAGAAGAACCATATACCTCATATGTAGGGATACCTATCTATTACACCCTTGCCAGCATCATTTTTTAAAAATCAAAACTTTGTAATTTGTGAAATCATATACATCATGGTTATTTTTATTCAACTTTATTTACTTTACTAATGAAATTTATATTTCTCTTTAGTAATAATTGAGAATAGTAATTGGGCACTACTGTCCACCAATTACTAGTCTGGACTTAGATATATCAGATTATTTCAACATCTTAAAACCTATATAATTAATTAACTTGCCAAAAGTAAAATAAATAGTTAATGGATGGCCATCCAGGATTCAAATCATGTTTACCTGACTCAAATCTAAGCTTTTAATAATCTTGCAAAACTACTTCCTGAATTATCCATAGCAACTATTTGTATTTCCTACTTTGTTATTTGGTTATAACATTTACTATGATTCACTGGGAAGAATTCTAATCTCTGCTTGTTTCCAAAATCTAAAATAGCCAAAAGGCATCACAATTGAATTCACTATAGAATTGAAACTTTTCTAAGGAAAAATGAAAAATCTGGTGAAAGTCAAAGTCACAGTTTCTACACAGATTACTACCATTCTGTCATTCAGCACATGGGTGCTAAACTGAAATGCTCTACATAACTTTACATTATTAATGTTTGCAAAAGGCAAAAAAAAAAAAAGAATTTATTGCTTTAGCCCTCTTCTCTACGTCCTTGTCTGTCTGTCATGGCTGAAAGCAAAGTCTACAAGTGTTAATAAGATCTCTCTACAATTTGTATTTAAAATGCTTACAAAATTGGAAATGGAAAGAGTATCTTGCCAACTTACACTAATATTCCCAGTTCATAGGTTGAAATATGAAAGAGAAGATTATAAAACTTGTATCTATGTGTTTGTATTAGCATGAAACAGAATTACATTCACAAAAGGCCTTTATGATTTTGCTAAAGAATATTCAGCACAGATCAAAGAAACACATTATTCTTATATTGTGAACATAGTAAGCCACAGGAAAACTTTTACCTTTTGTAAAAGTTTCTGGGGCATCAAGTTACCCACTGGAAGATGAATTTTTACATCCTAATTCATTTCACCAGAAATATTTATAAGTCATATGTATTTCTCTGTCTCTCTCTCTCTCTCTCTCCGTCTCTCTCTCTCTCTCTCTCTCTCTCACACACACACACACACACACACACACACACATACACACGTGCGCAGAAAGATACTTATGGGAGGTCACATTCTACGTATCTATTGCACTTATATCACTTCAAAAAGTCACCAGTAGAGGGAGTAAATAATTTGAAAATCAAATTAATTTTGATTTATTTTTTAAGTTGTATAAATATTAACCTATTTCTGTAAAAGATCTGACTAACAAGTCCCATTATTACTTATGCAAGATTTATAGCTGTGTAAGACACTCTTAAAAATATAAAATATAATTACAAATATAAGATTTATAACTGTATAACTCTCAAAAAATAAAATATAATTATAATTACAAATATAATTTATAAATCTCTTAGTAATCTAAATCATAATCACACATGTTAAAAAAAGAATATGGACTTGAATCAAATGGACCTGGGTTTTTCTCTCCTTGCTCAGATTTTTTTCTAATTGTGGAACTTGAGACAAGCCATTCAATTTACCTGTTTCATTTTTCATGTCTTCCAGATGCAACCACATAATAAATCGAGATATGATGTCACAGAGTATAGGATTAAATATAATGATGTATGTAAAGTTATTAGCATTAAGAAATATTAGGGTTTTTTTTTTTACTTCATTAGTTTTCTCCATCTATGCGTAATTCACCTTGCTCTCTTCCCACCTCCCTTTTGAGTATCAACAACCTCTAGATTGGAAAGGAGTGAAAAGGCGTTGAAATATCTCTCTCGCAAGTTGTATTGTCCACCACTACTTGCTCTACCACATGATACACCACTCTGACTTCTCTCAGCTCTGCCATCTCCTTAATCTGTTTTTGGTATTACCTGAAATTCCAAGACACAATCCCTTCAAAAATAATGTATCTCCTCCCCGAAGACATCCTCCCCTTTTCTATTCCATTTCTTCAGTCACCATAGCAATATCGCACAACGCCGTTGAAGTATATCAGAGTTTCCTAATGGGTTTGGTCATCTGAAGGGATTTAGAGTGTCCATGACAGAAAATTAAAGAAAAATCTCTAAATATTCCCAAAGTCTAATATAAAAAAAACCATGAAATTAGGGATTCTTCAGTCAGGATATTCTCTTCAGGAGCATCCATTGCTCTTGAGCTTCTTTTCTGAACTCAGGTTTGAACTTTCTAGAAAGCCCTCCTTCCTCTAACCTCTTCTCTGAGAGTTACCACCCTTAGGGAATACAAACACAAGCTCACAGATGCTGGTCTTACTTCAGGCTCACTATCCTCATAGAATACTTCCCCAAGACTAAGTTGTCTGCTTGACATAGTACCCTAGACCTCCAGCAGGACACCCAAGGTGTTGCTTGGCACCTCATATCCCACAGAACACTCTGATTGTGAAAAGGCTATTCCAGTTTGCTCCTCTTGAAGTCATCTGTTTAATTGTATTATGGTCAGTGGATAGCTGTTGGAGTGTACCTGGGAACACACACACACACATTTCAATTTCCAAAGGACAAAATTTTTATTCTCAGAGTTCATTTAATCCTACAGGAAGGAGAAGCACATTTTCCTAATTGCATCAGTATTTGCAAGGTCACCCATTTTACTGGGTGTTAGTAATTCACATTTTAGGCAGGGCGACATGATAGTTCATTTGTTTCACCTGAACAGACTCTCAATTGTGCACTCAGACCTGCCCTAAATAATACATGAGCCAACTGATGACTTACTTATCTGCTAATTGTGACTGCCATAACCACACAAATACTTGAGTTTACTCCTTATAAGGGTCCAGTTAAATGGAGCAGCGTTTTCCTAGTGTATGCCCCACAGCCGACCTTTGAGAAGGCACAACGAAGTGTGTGCCAGAGGCTCATAGAAGGTAGGAACAGATGCTGCTTAGCATAGGAAAAGTGAGAGATGTTTCAGTGTTAGGAAATGGCATACTGGTAGAAAAATAGGCAGAAAAAAGGTTAGACTCACTGATATGAAAAGAGAAAGAAAGAGTTGCTTACTAAAAAAGACTTGCCTCCAAGTCAACAAGTGTAAGATAAACAGGACTCATGATTGCACAAGTAAAAGTGTCTTGTGATTACACTTCCTATATCCATTCTTAATAAGCTAATCTTGCTGATTTATTTTCCTTTATGTATTTTTTTCCTTTTTTAACCAGAATATTATTAGTACAGAACATGCATCTTCCTCTCTACCTAAAATCAACACATCTATGTTGAATTCCTTGTACATACCAGGCAAAATGCCAATCACTGGAAAAATACAAATAAAATACAAACCGATTGATATAGGCCAGGATCATGTGCTCCACCTCCAAATTCTTGACTGGTGTCAGTCTCACTCAAACCACCTGTCCTCAGAGAAGAAGGGTGGTTCATCAAAGAGATTGGGATACGTGATCACCAAAAGAAAAGTGAATGGATTATGGGGGGCCAGAAAATGAGGTCTCCACCGTATCAGGTGTGACTTCTTATTTCTAAGACTCTAGCCAAAGGGCTCAAAGGGCAAGATTTTATATTTCATATAAAACAAAAAATTATGTTGCTGACTTTTTTTAAAAGATTATTCCTATTTATGACCTAAACTTTAGAAATCTTTTTGCATACCCGAACCTTATCACAGCAATGCTACACAGTACCTGGTCCACGTTTAAGTACTGGACCCAGCACAGGGGTGGCAAAAGTAATCAGCAAAAGACTCTAAGAGGGAAAAATACATGAGAAAAAGAATCAGGGCAGTATAATGATAGTAAGCTTGACTACACTGGATATACAGGCATATCTTGGAGATATTGTGGGTTTGGTTCCAGACCACCCCTATAATAAAAATATCTCAATAAAGTGAGTCACACAAAATTCTTAGTTTACTAATGCATATAGAAGTCATGGTGGAAAGGGGCAGAGTAAAATGGTGGAATAGAAGTCATCGCTGATAGTCGCCCCTACAGGAACACTAAATTTGACAACTATCTACATCAAAAACACCTTCATAAGAATTACAAATCAGGTGAGTACTCACAGTACCTGGCTTTAATTTCATATTGCTGAAAGAGGCAATGAATAGAGTAGGAGGCCATCTTGAAATGCTGAAGCCACCTGTCCCGCCTCTTTCCTCACACACTCTTTTCCACAGTGGCCCCATGGTGCAGAGAAATCTGTGCCCTTTGGCAGAGGGTTAGCTCAGCGATTGTGAGACTTTGCATTGAACTTCGTGCTGCCCTGTCAGAGCAGAAAGCAAAACCCGGCTGAACTTCGCTGATGCCCGCCCACCAAGGGAGCATTCAGACCAGCCTGAGCCATAGTGGAATTGCCCAACCCAGAAGTTGAAACTTGAGTTCCGGCTTCTCACAAGCCTCACCACCATGGGCTGAAGTGTTCTCAGGCCCCAGATTGAAAGGCAATCTAGGCCACAAAGACTACAAGCCCTAGTTCTGAGCTGGGCTCTGAACCAGTGGAATTTGGGGGCACTCGACTTACTAAGGCACTGGCCAGGCCAGCTAAGGCAGTGCTTGCACCTCCCCTCCCCCAACCCCAGGAAACACAGCATGAGTCTCCAAAAGAAACCCCTTCATTCTGCTTGAGGAGAGGAGAGGGAAGAGTACAGAGGACTTTTGTCTTTCATCTTGTATAGTAGCTCAGTCACAGTAGGATAGGGCACCGGTCAGAGTTGTGAGGCCCCCATTCCAGGCCCTAGCTCCTGAACAACATTCCTAGATACACCCTGAGCCAGAAGGGAAACCACCTCCTTGAAGGAAAGGACCCAGTCTTGGCAGTATCCATCACCTGCTGACTAAAGAGCCATTTGGCCCTGAATAACCAGCAGTGATACACAGGTAGCACGCCATGGGTCTTGGTGAGATTCCGAGACATTTGGGCATCAGGTGAGACCCAGCACATTCACAACTATGGTGGCTATGGTAATGAAGTGGCATCATTGTCTGGAGTAAGTACCTAGGGTTTGTCATCTTGTGCTGAGAAGATTAACGACACGGACACACACACACAGTGTGTTAGGGAGCAGAAAGCTTAATAGGGAGAAGAAAGGAGAGAGGAGAGCAGGTCTCTCTCTTTTGGGAGAGAGGCATCTGAAAAGAGAAGAGCTGTGACTGCAGCAGATTTTATAGGCAGGCTTGGGGAGGTGGCGTCTGATTTATGTAGGGCTCACAGATTGGTTCAACCAGGTGTGATGTTTACATAGCACAAGGGAAAGGCTAGTCATCCCATCCTAATCTTATTATGCAAATGGACTATTTGGCTGGCACCATCTGGTCTGTTCCTACAAGTGACTGGCAAAGGGAAGGGAAGATGGAGTCACCATTTTGAACATGTCAAGTCCTAGGTAGCTTTTTCCTGCTGGCATTCGCCCGTGCAAGCTTCCAGCTTGCTTGTCTATGTCTGCAGCTTGGTTTTACAGGCTACTCTTTATTAGAAAATGATTTGGGGGCTGCTCTTCATTAAAAAGGATAACCTTACTGAGGACTCCCATACCTTCACTATCTGCCTAAGTAGTTTCCTCTTAACTCCTATATCAGTAAGACTCCTGCTTGAGAAAAGCAGAGGGAAAACTAAAGGGGACTTTGCCTTGCACCTTAGGAATCAGCTTGACCACAGTTGGGTAGAGTGCCAAGCACAATCTTGGAGTCTCTGATTCCAGGCCTTGGCTCTTGGACATTATTTCTAGACCTGCCCTGAGCCAGAGGGGAGCCCACTGCCCTGAAGGGTGAGTCCCAGGCCTGGCAGCATTCACCACAAGCTGATTGAAGAGCCCCTGGGCCTTAAGTGACTATCAGTGGTAGCCTGGCAGTACTTGCTATGGGCCTGTGGTGGTGGTGGCCAAGGGGTGAGGCTCTTCTGCTTGAAGAAAGGGAAGGGAAGAGTGAGAAGGACTGTGTTTTTTGGTTTGAGGGCCAACTCTGCCAAAGCAGAATAGAACACCAAGTAGACTTCTAAGGTTTTTGACTCCAGTTAGATCCCAGACAGCATCTCTGGACCTACTTGGGACCTGGGGAAATCTTGCTGCCCTGAAGGGATGAACAGAAGACTGACTGACTTGGCCATCTGCTGATTATAGAGCTCTAGGGTTTTGAGCGAACAGAAGTGGTAGCCAGGCAGTAATTACACTGGGACTTGGGTAAGGCCCAGTGTTGTGCTGGCTTTAGGTCTAACCCAAAGCATTTCCAGCGGTGGTGGCCACAGAAGTGCCTGTGCCACCCCACCCCCAGCCCCAGAGGCTCCCTTTGATTGGAAGAAAGTAAGGCAAGAGAATCAGAGTCTCTACTTGTTAATCCAGAGAATTCTTCCAGATCTTATCCAAGACTACCAAGGCAGTACCTCTATGAGTCTGTAAGAACCACAACATTACTGGACTTGGGGTGTCCCCTAATGCAGATATGGCTTAGATCACAACACTCAAGTCCTTTTGAATATTTGGGAAGCCTTCCTAAGAAGGGCAGGTACAAACAAGCCCAGACTATAAAGTCTACAATAAATACCTAACTCTTCAATCCCCAGACACTGACAAACATCAACAAGCATCAAGACCATTTGGGAAAACATGACTTCACCAAACAAACTAAATAAGGCACCAGGGACCAATCCCGGAGACACAGAGATATATGACCTTTCAGACAGAGAATTCAAAATAGGTGTTTTGAGGAAACTCAAAGACGTTCAAGGTAACATAGATAAGAAATTCAGAATCCTATCAGATAAATTTAACAATGATAATAAAATAATTAAAAACAATCCAGTAGAAATTCTGGTGTTGAAAAATGCAATTTACATACAGAAAATGTGGCAGAATGATCAAGCAGAAGAAAGAATTTGTGAGCTTGAAGACAGGCTATTTAAAAATACACAGAGGAGACAAAACAAAAAGAATTGAAATCAATGTAATATACCTACAGGATCTAGAAAATCACTTCAAAAGGGCAAATCTAAGGGTTGTTGGCCTTAAATCAGAAGTAGAGAAAGAGATAGAGTAGGAAGCATACCCAATGGGATAATAAAAGAGAATTTCCCAAATCTAAAGAAAGATATCAATAGCCAAGTACAAGAAGATTATAGAACACAACGCAGATTTAACCCAAAGAAACATGTCTCAAGGCATTTAATAAACTCCCAAAGGTTGAGGATAAAGAAAGGATCCTAAAAACAACAAGAGAAAACAAACAAATAACATATACTGGAGCTCTAATAAGTCTGGCAGCAGACTTTTAAGGGGAAACTTCACAGGCCATGAGAGAGTAGAATGCCATAAAGTGCTGAAAGAAAAACATTTTTACCCTAGCATAGTATATCCAGTGAAAATATCCTTCAAACATGAAGGAGAAATAGAGACTTTCCCAGACACAAAAAAGCTGAGGGATTTCATCAACACCAGACCTGTCCTACAAGAAATGCTAAAGGGAGTACTTCAATCAGAAATAAAAAGACACTAAGGAAAAACAAGACATCATCTGAAGGTACAAAACTCACTGTCAATAGTAAGTACACAGAAAAACACAGAATATTATAACACTGTAACTGTAGTGTGCAAACTACTGTTATCTTAAGTAGAAAGACTCAAAGATGAACCAAACAAAAATAATAGCTACAACAACTTTTCAAGACATAGACAGTACAATAAGATAAAGTAGAAACAATAAAAAGTTAAAAAGTGGGGAAACAAAGTTAGAGTGTAGATTTTTTAAATTAATTTTCTTTTTCCTTGTTTGCTTATATAAGCAGCATTAAGTTGTATCAGCTTAAAAATCATGGGTTATGAGATAGTATTTGTAAGCCTCATGGTAACCTGAAATCATAAAACATACAATAGATACACAAAAAGTAAAAAGCAAGAAATTAAATCATACCACCAGAGAAAATCACCTTCACTAAAACTAAGGCAGGAAGAAAAGAAAATAGAAAGAGAAGAACACAAAACAACCAGAAAGCAAATAACAAAATAGCAGGAATAAGTCCTTACTTATCAATAATAATATTGAATGTAAATGAACAAAACTCTCCAATCAAAAGACATAGAGTGGCAGAATGGATAGGAAACAAGACCCAATGATCTGTTGTCTATAAGAAACACACTTCACCTATAAAGATCCGTGGATAGACTGAAAATAAAGGGATGGAAAAAGATATGCTATGCCAATGAAAACCAAAAAAAGAGCAAGGATAATTATACTTATATCAGACAAAATAGATTTAAATACAAACCTGAAAGAAGAGACAAGGAAGGTCATTATGTAATGATAAAGAAGTCAATTCAGCAAGACGATATAATTGTAAATACATATGCACCTAATACTGGAGCACCCAGATATATAAAACAAATATTACTAGAGCTAAAGAGAAAGATAGTCCTGAATACAATCATAGCTGGAGAATTTAACACTCCACTTTTGGCATTGGACAGATGTTCCAGACAGAAAATCAAAAAAGAAACATCAGACTTAAACTGCAGTATAGACGAAATGTACCTAATAGATATTTACAGAACATTTCATTCAACAGCTGTAGAATACACATTCTTTTCCTCAGCACATGCATCATTCTTAAGGATAGACCACATGTTGGGTCACAAAACAAATCTTAAAATATTCAAAAATACTGAAATAATATCAAACATCTTCTCTGACCACAATGAAATAAAACTAGAAAGCAATAACAAGAGGAATTTTGGAAACTATACAAACACATGAAAATTAAACAATATGCTCCTGAATGACCAGTAGGCCAATGAAAAAATTAAGGAGAAAATTGAAACACTTCTTGAAACCAATAATAATGGAAACAAAACATACCAAAACCTATGGTATACAGAAAAAGCAGTACTAAGAGGGAAGTTTATAGCTATAAGTTTATAATGACATCAAAAAAGAAGAAAATAAATAACCTAACAATGCATCTTAAAGAACTAGAAATGCAAGAACAAACTAAACCCGAAATTAGTAGGAAAAAAAAGAAATAATAAAGATTAGAGAAGAAATTAATGGAATTGAAACAGAAGAAAATACAAAAGATCAACAACATGAAAAGTTGGTTTTTTGGAAAAGATAAACAAAACTGACAAATTTTTAGCCAGACTAAGAAAAAAAGAGAGAATACCTAAATAAATAAAATTAAAGGTGAAAAGGAGATATTACAACTGATACTGCAGAAATGTAAAGCAATATTAGTGGCTAGTATGAGGAACAATATGCCAATAAAATGGAAAACCTAGAAGAAATGAATAAATTCCTAGATGCACACAACCTCTCAACATTGAACCATAAAGAAACCCAAGACCTGACTAGACCAATAGCAAGTAATGAGATTGAAGCCATAGTAAAAAGTCTCTCAGCAAAGAAAAACCCAGGACAGATGGCTCCACTGCTGAAGCCAAATGTTTAAAGAAGAATCAATACTAATTCTGTTCAAACTATTCAAAAACAAAGAGGAGGGAATACTTCCAAATTCTATGCGGTCAGTATAACCGTGATACTAAAACCAGACAAAGACACATACAAAAAGAAAACTACAAGCTAATACCACCAATTAATAATTATGAAAAAATCTTCACCAAAATACTAGCAAACTGAATTCAATACTACATTTAAAAGATCATTCATCATGACCAAGTGGGATTTATTCCAGGAATGCAAGGATGGTTTGACATACACAAATCAATCAATGTGATACATCCTATCAACATAATGAAGGATGAAAACCATATGATAATCTCAACTGATGCTGCAAAGCATTTGGTAAGATTCAACATCTCTTCATGATAAAAACCCTTAAAAAACTGGTACAGAAGGAACATACTTCAACATAATAAAAGCCATATGTGACAGACCCATAGCTAATATCATACTGAATGGGGAAAAGCTGAAAGTTTTGTCTCTAAGATCTGTAACACAACAAGGATGGTTACTTCTACCACTGTTATTCAATATAGCACTGGAAGTCCTAGCTTGAGCAATCAGACAAGAAATAAAGGACATGCAAATTAGAACAGAAGAAGACAAATTATCCTTGTTTATAGATTATGTTATCTTATATTTGGAAAAACCTGAAGACTCCACACAAATAAAGACAGTATAACTGGTTAACAAATTCTGTAAAGTTGCAGGATACAAAGTCAACATACAAAAATCAGTAGCATTTTT
The DNA here is from genome assembly GCF_000001405.40 of Homo sapiens. NCBI lineage: Eukaryota > Metazoa > Chordata > Mammalia > Primates > Hominidae > Homo > Homo sapiens. The sequence goes on along the minus strand of NC_000010.11, from coordinate 52,586,419 downwards.
ACATGCCAAACAAGCAACCTGAAAAATGAATTAAGAATGTAATCCCATTTATAATAGCTAAAAATTAAATAAAATACCTAGAAATTAACCAAAAAAGTGAAAGATCTCTCCAATAAAAATTATAAAACATTGATGCAAGAAATTAAAGAGGACACACACACACACAAAATGGAGAGATACTCCATAATCGCGGATTAGAAGAATCAATATTGTTTAAATGTCTGTACTACCCAAAGCAATATATGGATTCAATGCAATCCCTATCAAAATACCATGATGTTATTCACAGAATTGTTTTTAAAAAACCTAAAATTTCCATGAAAGCACAAAAGACCCAGAATAGCCAAAGCTATGTAGAACAAAACTAGAGGAATCACATTACCTGACTTCAAATTATACTACAGAGTTATAGTAACCAAAACAGCATGGTGCTGGTATAAAAACAGATACATAGAACAGTGAAACAGAATACAGAACCCAGAAACAAATCCATACATCTGCAGTAAATTCAGTTGTGACAAAGATGCCAAGATCATACATTTGAGAAAGGATAATCTCTTTAATAAATGATGCTGGCCAAACTGGATATCCATATGCAGAAGAATGAAACTAGATCCCTATCTCTTGCCATATACAAAAATCAAGTCAAAATGGATTAATGACTTAAATCTAAGCCTAAACTCTGAAATTACTGAAAGGAAACATTGGGGAAACTCTCCAAGACATTGGACTGGGCAAAGATTTCTTGAGTAATACCCAACAAGCACAGGAAACCAAAGCAAAAATGAACAAATGGCATAACATCAAGTTAAAAAGCTTCTGCACAGCAAAGTAAAGAAACAAGTAAGTGAAAAGCCAACCCACAGAATGGGAGAAAATATTTGCAGACTATCCATCTGACAAGGGATTAATAACAATAATACATAAGGAGCTCAAACAACTCTGTAGAAAATAATCTAATAATGAAATTTTAAAATGGGCAAAAGATATAAATAGACATTTCTCAAAAGAAGACATACAAATAGCACACATGTATATGAAAAGGTGCTCAACATCATTGATCATCAGAGAAATGCAAATCAAAACTATAATGAGATATCATCTCACCCCAGTTAAATTGGCTTTTATCCAAAAGACAGGCAATAACAAATGCTGGCAAGGATGTGGAGAAAAAGGAACCCTTGTATGCTGTTGGCAATGTAAATTAGTACCATTACAGAGAAAAGTTTGGAGGTTTCTCAAAAAAGTCGAAAATATAGCTGCCATAATATCCAGCAATTTCACTCTTATGTGTATACCCAAAATAATGTATATTAGTATATTGAAGAGATATCTGCAGTCCCATGTTTATTGCATCATTGCTCACAATACTCAAGACTTGGAAGTAACCTAAGTGTCCATCAACAGATAAATGCATAAAGAAAATGTGGTATATGTACACAATGGGGTACTTTACATCAAAAAAAAGAATGAGATCGTGTCATCTGCAATAATCAGGATGAAACTGGAGGTCATGATGTTAAGTGAAATAAGCCAGACACAGAAAGACAAACTTTGCATGCTTTCATTTATTCGTGGGAGCTAAAAACAAAAACAACTGAACTCATGGAGATAGAGAGTGAAAGGATGGTTATCAGAGGCTGAGAAGCATAGTAGGGGGGTGGTTGGGGGAAGTGGAGATGGTTAATGGGCACAAAAAATAATTGGAAATAATGAATAAAGTCTAGTATTCACCAGCACAATGTGATATATACATATATGCACATATATATGCACCATGCACTCACAAAAATTTAAAAATTGATTACAATCTCAAAAAGTTATGTTTATACTATAAAATATACATACCTTAATTTTAAAAAACTTTATTGCTAAAAAAATGTTAGCAGCCCTCTGAGCCTTCAATGAGTCTTCAATTTTTTTTGCTGGTGGAGAATCTTGTCTCAATATTGATGGCTATTGACTAGTCAGGGTGATAGTTGCTGGTTATGTTAGCTGTGGCAATTTCTTAAACAAGGCAACAATGAAACATACTTCATTGATAGACTCTTCCTTTCCCAAAGATTTCTCTGTAGTATGCAATGCTATTTAGTAGCATTTTAACAACAGTAGGACTTATTTCAAAATTGAAATCAATCCTCTCAAGCCATGCCACTGCTTTATCTACTAAGTTTATGTAATATTCTAAATCCTTTGTTGTCATTTCAACAATGTTCATAGCACCTTCACCAGCAGTAGATTCTGTCCTGAAAATCTACTTTCTTTGCTTATCCATAAGAACTGCCACCTCCTCATCTTTTCATTTGAACATGAGGTTGTAGCAATTCAGTCACATCAGGTTTCACTTCTGATTCTATTTCTTTCACTATTTCTACCACATCTATGGTTACTTCCTCCAATGAAGTATTGAACCCTCAAAGTTATCCAAAAAGGTTGGAATCAACTTTTTCCTAATTCCTGTTATAGTGTTGTATTTTGATCTCCTCCCAAGAATCATGAATGTTCTTAATGCCATCTAGAATGGTGAATCCTTTCCAGAAGGTTTTCAATTTACATTGTCCATATTCACCAGAGGAATCATTATCTATGGCAGCTATAAACTTATAAAACATATTTCTTAAATAATATGACATGAAAATTAAAATTACTCCTTGATCTATGGGTTGCAGAATAGATATTGTGTTAGCTATAATGGAAACAACATTAATCTTGTACATCTCCATCAGAATTCTTTGGTGACCAGGTGCATTGTCAATGAGCAGTAATAGCTTAAAAAAAATTTTTTTTTGGAGCAGTATGTCTCAACAGTGGGCTTAAAATATTCAGCAAACAGATGTCTCATCATCCAGGCTTTGTTCCATTTCTAGAGAACAAAAAAAGTCAATTCAGCATAATTTTAAAGGGCCCTATAATTTTCAGAATGATAAATTATCATTGGCTTCAAGTTAAAGTCACCAGCAGCATTAGCCACTAACAAGAGAGTCAGCTTGTTCTTTGAAGCTCTGAAGTCAGGCATTGATTTCTTCTCTCTGGCTGTGAAAGTCCTAGATAACATCTTCTTCCAATAGAAGGCTGTTTCATCTACATTGAAAATCTATTTTTTCATGTAGCCACCTTTGTCAGTTATCTTAGCTAGATCTTCTGGATAACTTGCTGCAGCTTTTACATCAGCACTTGCTGTTTCACCCTGTACTTTTATGCAATGGAGATGGCTTTTCTCCTTAAACCTCATGGACCCACCTCTACTCAATTCGCATTTTTCTTCTGTGGCTTCCTCATCCTCTCACAGCCTTCATAGAATTGAAGTGAGTTGGGGCCTTGCTCTGAATTTGGCTTTGGTTTGAGAGAATATTGTGGGTGATTTGGTCTCCTATCCAGAATACCCAGACTTTCTGCACATCAGCAATAAGGCCATTTTACTTTCTTATTATTCTTGTGTTCACTGGAGTAGTACTTTTAATTTCCTGCAAGAAGTTTTCCTCTGTATTCACAAGTTGTCTAACAGTTTGGTACAAGAAGCCTAGCTTTTGACCTCTCTCAGCTTTCAACATGCTTTCCTCACTGATATAGTTTATCTGTGTCCCCACCCAAATCTCATCTTAAATTATAATTTCCATAATTACCACACACTGTGAGAGGGAACCAGTGGGAAGTAATTGAATCATGGGGGCGGGTCTTTCCCATGCTGTTCTTGTGATAGTGAATAAGGCTCACAAGATCTGGTGGTTTTATAAAGGGGAGTTCCCCTACACAAGGCCCCTGCCCTGTCTCCATGTAAGACGTGCCTTTCATCCTCCACCACGATTGTAACGCCTCCCTGGCTACATGGAACTATGAGTCCATTAAACCTCCTTTTCTTTATAAATTACCAAGTCTCAAGTATGTTTTTATCAGCATCATGAAAACAGATTAATACACTAAATTAGTAGGAGTAGAGTGGCGGGCTGCTGTAAAGATACCTAAAAATGTGGAAGCAACTTTGGAACTGGATAACAAGCAGAGGTTGGAACAGTTTGGAAGGCTCAGAAGAAGACAGGAAAACGTGGGAAAGTTTGGAAATTCCTAGAGACTTGTTGAATGGCTTTGACCAAAACGCTAATAATGATATGGACAATGAAATCCAGGCTGAGTTGGTCTCAGATGGAGACAAAAAATTTGTTGGGAACTGGAGCAAAGGTGACTCCTGCTATGTATGCTTTAGCAAAGAGACTGGCAGCATTTTGACCCTGCCTTAGAGATTTTTGGAACTTTGAACTTGAGGGAGATTATTAAGGGTATCTTGTGGAAGAAATTTCTAAGCAGCAAATAGTTCAAGAGTTGACTTGGGCGCTTTTAAAAGCATTCAGTTTTAAAAGGGAAACAAAGCATAAAAGTTTGAAAAATGTGTAGCCTGATAATGCAATAGAAAAGAAAAACCAATTTTCTGAGGAGATATTTAAGCTGGCTGCAAAAATTTGCATAAGTAATGAGGAGTCAAATGTTAATCAGCAAGACAATGGGGAAAATGTCTCCAGAGCATGTCAGAGACTTTCACGGAAGCCCCTCCCTTCACAGGCCCAGAGTCCTAGGAGGAAAAAATGGTTTCATGGGCCAGGCCCAGGGTCCCCCTTCTGTGTGAAGCCTAGGAGCTTGGTTCCCTGCATCCCACCCGCTCTAGCCATGGCAAAAAGGGGCCAAGGTGCAGCTCAGGCCATGGCTTCAGAGGGTGCAAGCCCCAAGCCTTGGCAGTTTCCATGTGGTGTTGAGCCTGTGGGTGCACAGAAGTCAAAAATTGAGATTTAGGAACCTCTGCCTAGATTTCAGAGGATATATAAATTGCTTGGATGTCCAAGCAGAAATTTGCTGCAGGGGCAGGACCCTCATGGAGATCCTCTGCTAGGGCAGTATGGAAGGGAAATGTGGGGTTGAAGCCTCCACACAGAGTCCACTGGGCACTGCCTAGTGGAGCTGTGAGAAGAGGGCCACCATCCACCAGACCCCAGAATGGTGGATCCACCAACAGCTTGCATCATGTGTCTGGAACAGCCACAGACACTCAATGCCACCCTGTGAGAGCAGCCAGGAGGGAGGCTGTACCCTACAAAGCCACAGGGGACCTAAGATCATGGGAACCCACCTCTTGCATCAGTGTGACCTGGATGAGAGACATTAAGTTGAAGGAGAACATTTTGGAGCTTTAAGATTTGACTGCCCTGCTGGATTTTAGACTTGCATGGGGTCTTTAGCCCCCTCATTTTAGCCAATTTCTCCCATTTGAAATGGCTGTATTTACCCAATGCCTGTACCCCCATTCTATGTATGAAGTGATTAACTTGCTTTTGATTTTACTGGCTTATAGGCAGAAGGGACTTAGCTTGTCTCCGATGAGACTTTGGACTGTGGACTTTTGAATTAATGCTGAAATGACTTAAGACTTTGGGGGACTGTTGGAAAGGCATGACGGATTTTGAAATGTGAGGACATGAAATTTGGGAGGGGCCATGGGCAGAATGATATGGTCTGTCTGTGTCTGCACCCAAACCTCATCTTGAATTGTAGCTCCCATAATTCCCTCGTGCTATGGAAGGGATCCAGTGGGAGGCAGTTGAATCATGGGGATGGGTCTTCCCCCTGCTGTTCTCTTGATAGTGAATAAATCTCATGATATCTGATCGTTTTATAAAAGGGAGTTCCCCTACACAAGCTCTCTCTGCCTGACACCATGTAAGATGTCTCTTTGCTCTTCCTTCGTCTTTCACCATCACTGTGAGGTCTCCCCAATCATGTGGAGTGGTGAGTCCATTAAACCTCTTTTCTTTATAAATTACCCAGTCTCAGGTATGTCTCTATTAGCAACATGAGAACAGACTAATACACTCACTAAGCTTAATCATATCTAGCTTTTTATTTAAAGTGAGAAACATGAAACTCTTTCTTTCACTTCAACACTTAGAGGCCATTGTAGGGATATTAATTGGTCTAATTTCAACACTGTTGTGTCTGAGGGAATTGAGAGTCCAAGGAGCAGGAGAAAGATGAGGCAACACCTGATTGGTGGAGCAGTTAGAATACACACAGTATTTACCAATTAAGTGCACCGTCCTATATGAATGCAGTTGGTGGTGCCCTAAAACAATTACAATAGGAACATCAAAGATCACTGATCACAGACCACCATCACAGATATAATCATAGTGAAAATTTTTAAATATTGTAAGAATTACCAAAATGTAACATAGAGACGCAAGGTGAGCACATGCTCTTGGATAAATGGCACCAATGGACTTGCTGAATGAAGGGTTACCACACAAACCTTCCATTTGTAAAAAAAAAAAAAAAAAAAAAAAAAAGCAATATCTGTGAAGCACAAAAAAAGTGAAGTGCAGTAAAATGAGGTATGCCTGTTTTTTATTAAGAAGTCTTTTTTTTTTTTCAGACGGACTCTTGCTCTGTCACCAGGCTGGAGTGCAGTGGCACGATCTCGGTTTACTGCAACCTCCACCTCCCAGGTTCAAGCAATTCTCCTGCCTCAGCTTCCCAAGTAGCTGGGACTACAGGCATGCACCACCATGCCCAGCTGATTTTTCTATTTTTGTTAGAGACGGGGTTTCACCATGTTGGCCAGTCTGGTCTCGATCTCCTGACCTCGTGATCCATCCGCCTCGGCTTCCCAAAGTGCTGGGACTACAGGCGTGAGCCACCGGCCTGGCCCAAGAAGTCTTCTTTTTATAGTTAAGGAAGGGTGAAATCCCTGGAAAAGGAGAGATTGACATCCTAAGCATTCCCAAAGATATAAAGACCTTACAAATGTTTCTGTGTTCACTTTGATAAAATCTCATCACCCTTTCAAGCATAAAACTTAAACTCTTTTGGTTTGAAATGTAGTGCTGTTTTATCTTTTGTGTGCTTAGAACTGCTCTTCTTTATAAACCAGCCCTCTTCTGCAGATCTGTATTTTTCATTTAAGATCTACAGGAAAATAAATAATACTGATTCCAAATATCTTTTGTAAGAGAATGTTCAAAAGTTTGATCATATGCAGGCCTCTTTGTTATGATATAGTAAACCTTTGATTGCATCACTCCTATCTAAACACGTTTCTTTCTCCTGACCGTCTCTCAGTTTGTATGCGGGAGTCAGGATTGGTTTTCTTGGTTTGCTTCCTGTTTTGTTTCTCTTTAAGCACAATGGCAGCCAGTTGTTCCTGCGGCACTGTGGTCTGCTGAATTTTTCTCTTATCAATCTTCTAGAGAAAAAAATGTTAAGGATGTTTGTTATTACAATAATTAGAAAGGAATTCTACCTTCTAAATTCTCACAGATATCAGGAAATATACCCATTGGCCACAATCCTAATCACTAAACTTCAGATTCCTTAAAAGCTCTATTATTTTAACTACCATTTCCCTTAAAAAATGTCTAGTTGTGGAAACCTCAGGAAATGCACAGGAAATAACTGCCTGAGAAAATGTTAGCCAGGGAACGGGGTCATATAACAAAGTGGTAAGGCATGACTGAAACTACACCCAAACATTGTTATTTTACTTCTCAAACTGTCTTTGTTGGTGGCATTAAATATTTATAAAGAAATAACTCTGTCACAATATGGATATCATGTCTTAGAAATATCATTGCCCAATTAGGCAAAGAACCAAAACAGCCAGCTAGTTATTGACTTTTCAAGGCAAGGGGAAGTGGAGAGTTGAGTCAATTATCCAGGCAATATTCTTGCTACTGAGAGAATTTGTGTTCAACGATTCCAAGTGATTGGGTACAGACACTGCTTGCAGTCAACTTTTCACTTCTATTTTGGATATCCATTTGATTTACAAGTTCACAGATATTTAGAATTGTGAAGATACGACATCTGACTTAAAAAAAAAATAGGCAGACACTTTGCAGTAGAAAAGGCTGATGTAAATAAGAGATATTCTCTCTTATCGCTCAAAATCTATTCAGATCTATGCTGATTCCATACCAGACAGACTTGAATATACATCTCAGCTTTGCTACTAGTGCTTATGAATTTGGGCATTTTTTTTTTTTTGGTATCCACTAAGCCTCAGTTTCTCTCTTTGTAAAATGACAATAACAGTACCTTCCTTTGGCTTAAAGATACACATTTAATTTCACATTTGAGTATTTCTGATGTGAAATTGATGAGTTATATAATTGATGAGTAAATTCGACATAGTGTTTTGTCTTTCTCCTAAATGAAAATTACTAAATAATGCAGTTTATAATCTACAGCATACAGAAAGAGATGAAATGGTCACATGTAATTCATAGTATTTTTTCAAGATTACAGGAGATAATACTTGAATTGCTCTTGCCACATAAAGAATACTAAAGTTTAGCTACCACACTTACTATTATCATTGTAACTGCAACTCCATGACTAAAACTACCAATGCCTCTGACTCAGTTTCCTCACGTGTAAAATAAAGGGAATAAGGTACACTCTATCTCATAGAGTTTAAACTTACCTAAAGCTCTTTGCATGGTGCTTGGTACATAATAAGTGCTCATTAAAAGGTAGCTACTACTATTATTTACAATTAATAACTGTGACCACTATCATGGCCTCTACTACTACAACCACTCTTATTAGGAGGAATTATAGCCTCATTAATCTCAAATAATTTGCAGTCTAATTATAAAAACATTAAAGCAAAATATTTCAAGATAGAATTTGCTTTCAATGTTGTTCCATTAAGCTTAGCAAGAGATTGGAGAAGAACAAAATCACAGGGTTTAAAATCACCGAGGATCATGGGACAAATCTCTGCTTCCCCCAAGCCTGATATCTTAAGAGAATGTGAAAGTTAACAGGCATTGGTAAACTTTGTAGAGCACTGTTGACTCAAAACAACTGCAGAGCATTTTTGTTGGCTTTTACAATGGTACAGTGGTAGCTCAGTTTTTTAGGACATCATTTCACCCTTCTCACTAACTCCACTGGATATACCCTGATACACTTAGGCAAATATATACACATACAAATTGGCCAGAACTGGGAAAGGTAGCAAAGGAAACCTCAAATGAGCAGCATAAGACTGAATCTACCTTGCAGCAATTCTGAAGAAAAAATCATTCACAGGAAATATGTCTACTACCTACCTTCTCTCATCACTTATTTTCTACCTTTTCCTTCTTTCTTAATTTTGCTTTTTAAACGCTGGTCTATTCTGCTTTCTCAGCACTTTTGTAAAAAAGCAGTCTTTAGATCACAGTAACTAGAGTGCTTATGCTTGCCTTGGTGTGAAAGGGATTGGAAAAATTTGTAGTTACGAAAGAGGAAAAAAGTTCTATGGAAAGAAAAGAAGAATATAAAAATATGCTCTCCAAAAGTTTTATTATATGTGAAAAAAATATTTATTTTCCTCTCACAACTCATAGTTCCTGTTACTTGTTTCCTATTAGTGAGACCATATACCAGGGGTACCCAGAACCTTAATTTAGAATTAACATGTGCCATAAGAATAATATATATTAATAATATATATTTCTGTTTACGTGGTCCACTAAAATATACATTAATAGGTGTTTTATTAGAACCCTTTTCTCGGAAGTAACAGATCCATATCAAACCAGAATAGATAAAGGGGAGATATGTTGATATATGTAATAAAACCACAAGACAATCAGTTGTGGGAGTAGAAGGCAGTTAGCTAGGCACAAGAGACAATCCATAGAGGGTCTCCATATCTTTCTGACTCTCGCTTCTACTAAGCAACTGGAAGATCTGGTATCCTATGTCACAGACTTATCACCAGAGAGACTGAAAGATACTTTCTATTGTTTATGTTCAGACAATTTTGACTGGGCCTAACCTAACCTGGGACTATTCATTCACTTTTATTGTGTAATTTATCAAATGAATATTTGGAGAATTGATTGCAGTGCAAATGAACACAGCACTATGTTCACCTGATTTTTTAGTTTTCTCTTGAGTTATAATTATTAAATCAATACTTTTCACCCTTAATAATGCAAGCCCATTATTACACAGACTATCTACACTGGGGAAAATGAAGTATTTCAGAAATATAACTCTCTGCTTGAATCAGTATTTCTGTATCTCTTTTATCTGGACTAGGACTACCTCTTGTATTGCTTTAATTTTCACATCTATTTTTAAAAATCAAGAAGTATAGGAAGATTTACACAAAACCCAACCATATAGTAGTAATAAATTTGTTTTCATAGAATTGTTTTTAACTTAAATGACAGTGGCTAACTATGTAATTTGGTTTGCACAATTTCGGAAGAAATTAAGAGAAAACAATACTCAAAATTTTTATGAAAATCAAATCAGAAACCTATTGACTAAAAACCAACAAAATTTGACTTAAAAGAAGATCCTGTTTCCAAGTTAACAGAATGTAACTGCAATTCTCTCCATTTTTGTACTAGCATGGCAAATTAAAAGGTTTTGTTTAAGTGTAAAGGGTGTATTCTTTTCATTTGATATCTGCATGCTACTTTCTGTTAGCCAATTCTAAAGATGAGATAAATAATAAATGTGAGGGACCTCTAAAAATGCTAGGTGAGAAGACAGTATTAGCATATACTACCTTTTCCTTTTTCTTAATTTTGCTTTTAAACGCTGCTCTATTCTGCTAGGAAAAAAAAATTTTTTTTTTAACTGTTGTAGGGAGTGGGGCACAGGAGTTCCTGGCTTCAGACAGAGCACCACAGCTATAGATTTTGATTAATCATAATAACTACATAGTTTCAAGAACCGATTTAAATTTCCTACCGGAGCAGGAAGCAAATTATAAAACTATGCTCATGGACTCTAGCTGTTGAGAAACATTTTTTATTTGTGTTTTGTTGTTGTTGTTTTGCTTTATTTTCCCACAATGTACACTTTGTGTTTGCCCTGGAGCTACATTACAGACAACTTACCAAGTAACTTCTTGGTTGAAGGCTGATCATTTAAGGAAAATGGGGAGAAACCTGAAATATGATGGAAACTACTTCCCTAGTCTCCCAGAAGGGAGGAAACAGATTTGCAAAGGGTGTTTATTTTAATTACTAAATTACCTTTATAGTGACTTGAGGCCAGGGAGGTACTTACTTGCAAAGCTGTAATAGAATGTTTTCAGCAGGAAATCTTAAATAAGGGTAAAACCACTTCAGGACCTTGGCTGGAATTTTGAACTGTGAACATTAAGCAATCAGCAAGAAAATAATATAGCATTATTTCATTGATATAGACTGTGCTATAAATAAGCAGAAATAAAGGAAGGAAACTGTATGTCTGATTGCCTTGGTACTAAATTTCCCCGGCAAAAAAGAAAATAGAATGGGAAAACATAATAATTTGCTTCAAAAGCAGAGCAATAAAGATATTTTGAAATGTCTTATAAAAAAACCTAATCATTAACACTAAAGATCTATTCACACTGGGAAGGGGTAGACTAAGAATAAAAAGAGGAAAAACACATTTTTTCCCTCTTGAGCTTTTTTTAGTCTCCCAGTGCTGTGGAATTAGAGCAGCAAGCTGAAATGATTTATGAAATGAAAAATTCCTGCCCACCCACTTCACAGACAATCATGTGCAATAACTACTGTGTTCTGCTATGTGCCATAATATTTAGCTCAGATGTAACCAGAAAATCCCACTACACATAGAAGAGTCAACCATAAAAAGAAACAGATTTCCTTGTATTTCTCTCATGTGTTTGCACACGGACACACCGGAAAATAATATATGCATATTTTTGCACACATCAGTAATTTCCCTTTTATCTTATCCTTCCTTTTGCTTTTCTTTTCCTTTTTTCAGAGAATTTAATTTACTTTTACTTTTAAAGTAATTCCTATATAAACTTCTCACCTCCTTTCTCTATCTTGACCCCGTAACCCTCTTTCCTCTCTAGAAGAAACTCAGAACCAGGTTGTTACCTGAGTAATTTAGCAAATAACTATTTATCTAAGTGGAATGATTGTGCTACAAAAGTTATTTAGTTAAATACTGGTTTTCTTTATATTACTAATTAGGTTTATTAGGTATGTGAATACTCAGGAGAGTATACTTTGGTCTGAAACTGTAAATAGTACATTTGTTTGTGCTATTTTGCAAAGCTTAATAAAAACATGCAAAAGAAACTATGAGTATTAAATTGAGAAATCACCATTAACTGACATATACAAGACAACTGACCAGTTCTTCCACACAAATATACTTAACCAGAACGATATGAAGTATCATGGAAAAATAAATTATGTAGAAGGAAGTCATGTACTTTCCTCTGAGAATACTGTATTTATATTGGAAAATCCTATACACAATAAAACATTGACTATCATAAGACCATTTGTAATCAACCTCTCTAGTAGTTCTGGGAAATGAAGAGATTGTTAAAAACTTGGAGAACTGAGGAAAGTCTGTGGAAACGGTGGAACTTAATATAGGTTTAAAAGACTGTTTTGTATAAGACCTTGTATACCCTGCATGGCTCTTGCCACAATGGATTGCCCAAATTGATAATTATAGCCAAACTTCAGTCTTCCCAGTTAATTATATTTTCCCATGTCCTCTGGATATCTGAGCACACAAGGAAGTTTGAGAAACAACAAAGTGTGGAAAGCAAGAGCAAACCAAGTCTTGTAGAGGAAGTAGTATCTTAGGGAAAAAGAGGTCTCAATTTCCTCTCTGCCATAATCTCACTGTGTTTTGGGGAGGTATTTACAGCAATCTATGTCTCCATATCTTAACAATAGAGATTGTGTTAAGGCCAACGATTTTTAGAAGATGAATGGGTGGAGAGCAAAATGTTTCATAGTGTGGGGGCAGATACTAAATCCTCTGGCAGAGGGAAGTTTCTAACTATTCCAAGAGACAATCTTACAAGATACTCTAAAAAGCTTTTAGTCACCAGCCCCACCCGCCTGTCCCTTCCTTGTCCAACACATACAGCTGGAATTAGGATTACTTATTGTGAAGGGGAGGGGCATAGGCCTGGGGATAGAGTGGAAATTAGAGAATTACTCTTTTATTTCTCATTCCACTTTCTCAGTTCAAAATTTATTTGTAATTCCCTGTATTTCATCTTCAAGAATATTTTTGGGCACAGAGATAAACTCCAGTGTACTTTTGAATGAAATATCAGAAAACTTTTCCACTTGATCTAAAAACTAACTTTGATAATGTTTTATGATCACAGTGCAGAGCAGGTAATTCATGTCTACATGATCTCCTGCTGAATGAATTTGTAAATTGTCATTCTACAGCACACCTTTTAAAGATATCTTCAATCTTTGACTATAGTAAACGTAAAATTGATATTAATTTGTTAAGGATTTTCTCCATTAAAGTCTCTTTCTTTTTTTTTTTTTCTTGTTCCCTAGGTAAAGTGCAATGGTGCTATCTCGGCTCACTGCAACCTCTACCTCCTGGGTTCAAGCGATTCCCCTGCCTCAGCCTCCCGAGTAGCTGGGATTACAGGTGTCTGCCGCCACACCTGGCTGATTTTTTGTATTTTTAGTGGAGATGAGGTTTCACCACGTTGGTAAAGCTGGTCTTGAACTCCTGACCTTAGGTTATCCACCCACCTCGGCCTCCCAAAGTGCTGGAATTACAGGCGTGAGCTACTGCCCCAGCCTAAAATCTATTTCCTGATATTTTTTATTCTTTTCTAGTCAACTAATATTCCAAACTATAACTCTAACTGGACTGGGTAAAAAATAATACCTGAATGCATACTTGCTTTTTTTCCATTGAAAAGAAGAAACAATCAAAATGGATCCCATTCTTATGGAAGCAGGGTATAGAGTCTACCCTTCAGCTTCTGAAAGGTAACACAGAAATAGCAGTAATCGTTGGAAACTTTTCAGTTGCAAGTGATTAACTTCCTACTTAAAACAGCATAACTTTTTTTAAACAAAAATATTTGACAGCCTTTGAGGGCATATCACTGAAAGTCCAGGGATACATTTCTTTAGTATGTCTGGGATCCAAGGTGTCACATAATTCCATTAGGATATTATATCTTTCTATTCAATGACTCTTTTTATGTTGCTGGGTGATGGCTGACAACCAAATTTTGACATCGGATTACAGGGAGTGTCTTCCCTAAGAGCTCTGGATCAGATATTCTTACTGTCTCATGTGCCCACCCTGTGGCTTAGAAGAAGATTCAGCTTCACTCCCAACTAGATCATGTAGAATGTTTTCCACAAGAAATAAGGGTTCCATTACCGAAAGAAAGAAAGAGAGAGAAGAGAGGAAAACAGTACGGTATAAGTCTACTACATAAGGGCGCATTCCCAAATATGCTGGAATTTCACCACTTAGTCATTGTTAGACTTTGTGGCAGCCCCTTCTCTTCCTAAAAATTACATTCAGTTTGCTTTATTTTCTTTCATTTAAAAATTTATTTTATTTTCATTTGTAAATATCTTGATAGAGACAAGGATAAATGGAGTATTGCGAAAGACCCATTTGTATAAGTGCTAATCGTAGTCCAAATTAACTTTCCACCAAGGATAACAAAAGCTCTATATGAAAACCCCATTTTCTAGTATTTCTTTGAGAAAATAGTAGCTAACATAAACTGAACTTTTACTGTGTGTACATTAAGTGCAAAGCACTATGATATGTGACTTACATATATTAACTCATTTACAACTCACAACTATCCTATCTTCATTTTATAGAGAAGACAACTGAGTCACTGAGAGATTAAGTAATTTACCCCAGTCACACAGCTGAGATTTCAACTATTTTAACTACCTTGTTTAAGTTATGTCAGTCAGCAGTTTACATAGATTTATGGTTTTCTTTTCTTTTTTTTTTTTTTGGGCAAGCTGGAATTTGTGTTTCTGGAGAAAAGGAGTTAATTAAACAGAATAAGCCATAAGTGTAGACAAAGACTTGCTTTCTTCTTTTTAGAGCCTAAACTGTCTATTCCAGAAAACCTATTTTAAATAGCACAGACATATTCATTCTCCAGCCTTCAGCAGAATTTTCCCAGCTACGGTGACAAAAATTCTGATATTTTAAACTATTGACTGGTCAAACTCTAAATTCAGTAAAGATAGGCTTGTCTCATTGTTAGTATTTCTCTTATTATTTAAAAGTCTCTAAGAATAAATTTTCCTTTTGGAGTTTTGAAGTTATAAACACGTGGTTTTCTTCTTGTGCTTCAATTTCTAAATGAAACCACATGGATAGAGAAATGACTTCACATGACTGGTGAGAAATACCCCAAGTCATTTGCTCCTTCTGCAGTATGGTAATATAGTCCATCTGAATTAGTCTGACATAAAAGGCACTGGAGAGTATTGGTTAGGACTTGATTGGTTGCAAGTAACATAAACTCAAACTTAAGTCCAAAGAGGACTTCATAATGAAGGTACTAGTGTTTTTCATAAACGTGCAATCCAGATTTAAACTGAGCCTCAGGAACAACTGAAACCAAGAGTTCCAGCACCCTTAGGATTTCTGTTCTGTTTCTGCTTTTTCTGTTTTGCTTGTTTATTCATGAGTAATGGTGGTTTTTTTTGGTTTTTGTTTTTGTCATCTGTGTTATATAGTAGAACAAAAATACGACCAATACCCAATTTTTATCTTCTTCTCAGACTTACCTGGAATCCTATTTCTGATTCTAAATTTTCAAAGAGAGGTTAACAAGTCCAACTTGGGTAAGTTGTTTATTCCTGGTCCAATTAGTTGTCACCAGGGAAATGACTAGAGTTGGCTCAGATTTGCTCAGCTACCAACTTTTGGAACAAGTACAAAATAACCCATGTGGGTAGGGGAAGTGGCAGCTCTCAGAATAGGAGGATTCTAGGCAGTCAAAACAATGTATCTATAGCACTGAGCCTGAGCTTGCAATTTAAAATCATTTATCTGATTTCTCATTTAGCTGAAAGAGATCTTGAGACTTAATTTTTTTCCAGTAGTGTTTATAAAAAGTTAGTACATTTTCTGCAGATTTCAAAATGTAAAAGCTAAACGCTTAACTCCAATAGCTCATATAATGTCAGTGTAAATTATCCTGGTGAAATTTGCAGAAAAATACAAAGAAAATAATTAAATGAAAAAGCACAAAAAATTACAGTCAATAATCTGACCCTTGTTGGTTCTCATCCAAAGTACATCAGTTGATGTAATTTTCACCTTTCATTTCTCTTTCTAACCAAAAACAATAATAAAGAACAATGAACAAGCTATTAGAAAAACAGCTGGAGGAAAAAGAAGAAGAGAAAGAAAAAAGGGAGGGAAGAGAGGAAGGGGAAAAGGAGAAAGATTCCAATACAATTTATGGATAATTGTATGATCTGTTGAGATGCTTTTTTTTTTTTTTTTTTAACAAATACTGCATTTTCCTCAACCTGGATAGCTATAACATTTCATCTTTAGTACCTAAGGGAAGAAAGACGACATTGAAGAGAAAGAGAGATGGGAGATGTTTGTCAATATTTGGGTTTTGAATTTCAATTTTCTTGTTCTGAGAAATAAAATATTGTCTAGAAAAGACATGGGGCATAAAACTTATACCTTAAATAATAAAGGACATTTTTCCTTATGTTCTCCCAGCTGAAACCCTGCCACAAGGTTAAGAACCTAAACCAAGCTGGTTAAGAACAAAGGGAAAACAATATTTAGATGTCGGCTTTTCATTTTCTCTATAAAGGCTTTCCTGCCCTTCCCCACACCTTCAGGCTAAGTAGGAAGGAGAACGTTAGAGCCACCAGATTTATTTGTGGGTTTTGAAGTCAGGTGGTCCTATATATCACTTTTGGAATAGAGGCTGGGAAGAGACAAGCCCCATAGGGTTCCTCTGAACTCTGTTTACCTTGGAGAGGTCGCATGTCCACATGCACCCAAGAAGGATATGGAAATGGATGAGAGAACCCAGGGCTGGAGAGCCCACGCTGTGGAATGAGAAGCACATGGCTGACTTTTTCTGGAATAAGGAAGACAAGGCAGAGATCTTCTTGGATTGACAAACAGAGGTGGGATAAGAATTTCTCAGCTGATGCTGGTGTATACAAATGACTTGAGGGAGATTTATGTTCCCCCTTCCACTCCTGCTCTCAATGCCTTTGCTGTCTATCAACATCCTAGAACTTAGACACTAGACCTAGGGAAAAGTTTGGGTGAAGGAGGGGTGGCTTCAGTTGCCTGAGGAAACTCCGATTACAACGAGATTATTTTAAACTGATTGTGATTAAGAGTCTGCCACTAATGGAACAACATAGGCTTGAAATAGAAGTAAAGTTATAACAAATACAGAAAATTTGATTTTTTGAACACATATGTTTTATACTAAAATTTGTAGCCATTACTTATTGAATAGCAGAATTGAGAAAATGATACCTATCAACAATTTTTCACCTATTTTTCCCCAGTGAAGTGTGTTCTCTTAACCAGAGGTAAAAATAGTCATTTAAAAATAATCCTAATGCCCACCAATGGGATATTTGAGTATTTCCCCTTTGTTTTAAAACCCTGGGAACCAAATTCCCTGACATTTTAATTGTTGGCTGTATATTCAAATGGAGTTATGTCATTTGCTAGAAATTTTTATTTGCTCCTTTGAGATTTAGTCCTACTTGCTGTTCAATATATGCATCTTTCTTCTTTTGTCTATTTATTTTCTTCACTTCCTCTGACCTTCTAGTACTTAAACAGCATCACTAGAACGAGACCTCCTTGTATGCTATTCCTTAGTCTGCCAGTGATAAAAAAGAATCATTTAAGTATACTTCCATAGAGGCCACATGTGTACCATGTATAGTGCTTAATATAAATCATGAGGAGAGGGCCTCCAGCATCCTATGAATAGTCTTGAACTTGGTATGCTGTAATAGGTAGTCTTTGATCCAAGGAAACCCACAATTGAATTAGCAGAGATGATTTCTTTTTTGCTTTCTTCTCTTTCTCATGCCCTTGCTAGATCTGTATCTCAGAAAACTGTATCCCTAGTGACATATGAGGAATCATTCTATTTGCAATGTCTGCAGCATCTCTGACTCAGTAAGTGACTATTAGCAAGGGAAAGTAACAAAGCTAGACAGTTCAAGAGAATAAAACTTGTCATGGCTCTATGGTAATAGTCTTTCATTAGTCCAGGGTGGAGAATAGAACAAAATGATCGTAATAACCAAGCGATAAATCAGATTATGGTAAGGATCCCTCTCTACCACACTGACATTTAGATTTAAATTTTGCTTAATTGAACTCTAGCCTTAAATGGCCTAGGAGGCTAGTGTTATATGGAAGACATTTATAACAAACCTCCCAGCTTAGAACTTTTGGTCTAAGTTATCTGTTGGCTCTGACTTTCTGCTGCTATCAAGCTTCCAGAGAAAAAAAAGGGACCAGGAAGCCATCCAAGAAGCCATAAGCAAATGTGACTTAAAATGATGGGTTATAAATGGCAGCTTTCTAGGTGTTCTGCAAGCTCCATATGAATACAAATTATACCTAAACTTTTCTTGGGTAGCCGTCCCCCAACATTTTAATTTAATTTTTATGCTTTGGCTTCATCTTATTTTCAAAAGGATTTAAAGTGACTTCTAAGATAAATAAAACATTTTAAATTGATATAAACTAGGAATAGGTAAAAATGAACAGAAAGAAGTATTTGTACATTAAGTGAGTTAGGAATGAGTCTAACTCAAAACTGAACATCAGATGGTCTTATGAATAGACACAACATACGTTCTAAGTTTATAACAAGGGAAGGAAAAAGGGATACCTGATGGGTTAGTTATATCTGATCAGTCAGTGTGTCCATATGCTCATGACAATTATTTAGAAGAAACAAAAGGAAAAGCATCTGCAGGATCCTCATGTTGGAAAAATCCCTCAGCCTTTGGCACAGAGTTAGATAAATAGTAGGCACTTGAAATAGGCTTACTAGTTAATAGGACAATGACTACTATCTGAAATTATAATTATAAAAAAGAAATGTTTCAAAATGGAAAGAAATTAAAATCAAGGAAGTTAATGCTCTTGTAGTATATTTAAGTACTAAAATGTTTCAGAGCACTGTACCAAATTTCCGGGGAGGGAGAAAGTACGAGCTCCATCAACCTAATGGGAGAAATAACATAAATCTCTTACCACGAGATGTAAGATAA